>NC_000002.12:192035072-192338102 GCF_000001405.40 Homo sapiens | reverse complement strand
GAAAGTGTATCAAATGTTTCTCATTGAACCTTAAATTCAAGCACTACTCCAAAATTTGTCTCTATACATTGAAGACTACAGATTTCTGGACAGGTTGAATGCAGACATGCATGACCATTATTTTTAAGTCTCAATATTAATATTCCCTGAATTGGAAACTGAATTTTCAAAATTGGACTAAAGACTCTAAATCTCCTAGAAAATAACTATGTCTCCCTCTTTTCCTTGGTTCAGTTGTTAAGATTGACATGTTGAGGAATCATTGTGATTTTTTTTACTTTTGAACATTTAATTTCTTCTTTGGTTAAATCTAAATAAATACTTCTTGATTAGGAGGGACAGCTGGGTATTTGAACAGTTGGCTGCAGAAGATTATGGAATAACTTCTCGGGAAAACATTCCTAACTAGATACACAGCCATCTGTCAGATATTGTTTAAAAATTCTTGTGTGTGGAAAAGTGTAGGAAATGAGCTTTTAATGGTCCTCACATTGACATTTTCAGTAATAAAAGCATGGGTCAGGTAAGAAGAGGGAGGCGTTAACTACCCCAGGGTACTTTTTAGCAAAATAATTGTCCTAAATCAGAATTTTTCAAAGTGAGCTCCATGAATTCTAGAATTAGGATGCTAATAAGTGTTATTGATTAAAAGAGAACTTTATTCTGGACATCTCATTTTTTCTTCTTTCTATCTGTATTGTTGTGCTCTTCCATGCACCTCTTGGCTCTAAGGGAGGTTATTTTTTCATCTCCTCTACCAGTTCACTTAGGTGAGCCTTTGCACATATTTTTTTTCTCTTTAAAAGAAACACAGGAAGGTGAATTATATCAAAACATGATAATATTTCATATAAATCACTTTTCTAACATAGTTTGTAAGAATTTAAGAAAAAAATACACTCACTAAATAGATCATGAGAGCTAAAGTTCCTTTTTTTCCTTTTTGTTGTGTTACCCGACTGTTATACCAGTTGACAGCTACAATCATGATTTCCGGATTCAGCAATTCGAATGCACTTTTTAAAGTATCACATTATATTATTGAGATTTATATTGTTACATGTGCAATAGATGGTAATATGATTCAGTGCATTTCTAATTTATTAAATAGCTTTATTGGAAGATTGATGATTAATAAGTGAACGTAAACCTGGAAAAAGATATGCCATGAGAGATTTCTTACATCATTTCTAATAATTCACTTGGATGCACATGAGTGGAATTCTTATCAAATGACCAAATGTCATGATACTTGAAAGAAGGTGAATAGATGAAAGTTTCACATTTTAAAAAAGTTTCAAAAACAGACTGGAATGTTGGACTGAACACAATAAGATAAATTTTCATTATTAAAGTATTCTCTTTTGAATTTATTAAACAAATATTTTACCTCTGCTGCTGAAAAAAAATAGCTTAACAGCAGAGACAAAGAAGATTTAAGAGTAACCATTGAGATTAAGCTAGATTTGAATCAACCGTGAATGTCACAGCTAATATATCCAATAGTACCTTAGGCTGCTGTCAAAACGGAAAGTTTTGAGAAGCATGTCTATCTTTTTTTCTTCTATTTTTATTAGACCTTGGTAGTAGTACTGTTTTCAGTTCAGTGTTCAACCCATTTCAAGAATGATTTTAACAAACTAAAGTGTGACTACAATTGTGAAAATTCAAAATTATTAGGGAAACTGGAGATTTATCAGTGATTGTAGATTTAAATATGAACTAGACAATAGTTTGATAGTACTATTATGTAGTGAATTTTTTCACTCAACAAGCTTTCACTGGGGGCCTAAGATGGACTAGTTTCTAGGACAATCAATATAAAACCAATGGACTGACTCTTTCCTCAATACTTACACAAATACCTATGACATAAAGTACAATACAACAAGTTTCATTAAACATATTAAGTAGCTTGTGCTACTGAAGAAGCCTGAATGAATGTTTTATCTTGAATTCTTTGTTTTTGAATTTATAATAAATGAGAACAACATTGCCATTAAAGTTTTTTCCAAACATTTTCTATCTTTGACCAGTGTTTCTCAATCTATTTGTCTTTATGATGCCCCTCCTGAAAAAAAATTTATTTTAATTTAATTAATTAAAATTTTATTTAATGTCTACCTAATGAAAGCAATTAAATGTTAAGGAATAAGATTTTGTCAAATATAATTGGGTCTCAAAGGACCACAAATCATTGTAATATTTAAGATTTTTTTCTATGATTTTCTCCCTCTACACCAAACCAATTTTGCCCTTTTGGGGGGAATATTGCTTTCACTGAGAAGGCATGCTCTATGTGATCCATTCTTTATATGTTCACTCAACATCTTATCAATTCTCATCTCCTAAGCTTCATTCATATTGCTCCTTCAGTTGTCATTGCTTTTTCCTCTTTTAATTTACACATAATATGCCAATACTTGGGACACAATTCTAATCCCCTTGTCCTGTGAGTGTTGATTTATGATGACAATATAGATTTTAAATAATTCAATTTATAAGTTTATTTAAATGTATTTTATGTGTTTAATTAAATGCACTTAATTTTTACTGTTTTTCAATTGTAAGGATCTAATAAGACTATATAATGCATTTATGGGTGGACACATAGCAAAGCGAAAATTGATAGCAATTACTTTTGTGTTATCTTTTTATAATTTGATCTACTATACATTTAAGCCTTAAATGTGTTTCTAATTAATATTTCAACTTGAGTGTTTTATTTTATTAAAATTATTCAATATTGTGTTCATCAAAGTATCTGTATCCTAATGATTTCACAAACTCTATCAATAATCCTACATTCAATGACAATAACCATTTTACCCTGAAATCTTTCTTCCTATTGTTTCCTTCTTAGAAGCTTTACCCACAGATATCAAATCATGACACTATAGCAGTAGTTCAGAAGTGTAGAAGATGAAAGGGAGAGATGAGATCAATTTTGGGTGACAATGGTAGCTTTAAAATGGTAACTTTAAAAATCCAAATTGAAAACCAAGCAAAGAGCCTACAGTGTTACAGATTGCCAGAAGATATGTACTTTGGGAATATAAAATTGAGAGAAGGCATTTTTCTAAATGGGAAATGGCAAATATTACTGTTCAGATTTAGAACAGGTTCCGCTGCTGTGTGGCGGCTTGATTGTACATCTGTGACTTTTCCTCCCTCTGGTATGGTGCATCTCTATCTGATCACTAATATTGAAGTACCTCCAGCTTTTCAAGTTCTCATTTTAGTTGATTTTTATACATGCTTCTTTGCTTTTGCACCTATTGATATCCTATTTTTTATCTATTATAACTTGGATGACAAATGGCATTTCTCAAACTTTAATCGAAGCTTATATAAAAGAGAAATCTTGTTATAGGTATTGTCTTTGTGATTAATATAATTTTACTCTGTACAAGTTTTATATTCATAAGTGCTCTGAATGAAAACATTAGCTTTAAAGAGTGGAATTAAGGAAACAATATACAACTTATTTTCAAAAGTTTATTACACCTGTGAAGTTCATGCTATTTTTTTACATCCATCTTCTACAAAGCTTTTGTTCTCATCATATTAATTAGCTATTATTAGAGACATCCTCTTTAACCATATCACTCAGTAGTATTTGAGCCAAGTATATAACTGTAAGAAGCTCTAAAGTCATTATCAACCATAACAGTTACATGAAATAACTGATATTACTTTTTTCAACTGAACTAATTTGGAAAGAACTATATTCATAATATGATTTAATAAGCATAACAAAAATAATATGAAAATTCTGCTAAAGGCAAAGTTGAGAAATATGATATATTATACATCAGCAAAGGAAAAGAGTCAGATGCTCATGGGTTTCCAGAGGCACAAAGAAACTCTCTAATTGAACCCTAGATTTGAATTCACAAATATTTATATTTTCCTTTCCTTACTCACAGGTTTTCTTTCTCAATAGTTTGTAAAACACAGGAAGTGGTGTTTATTACCTCAGAAACACTGACAAATTTTCTCTGCCCTTAATTCTGGCTTCAATTTTAAAGTGTGAGCAAGGGACAAATTGGACAGTCCTTTCAGTTGCACAAGCAGCGTCAATTGTAACTTTCTTTCCTGCATAAGGTTAATCCCGACGTACTTTCTTATGTTGAATCAGTTGTTTTTGAAAATATTGATAGAGAGTGGGAACTATTTCAAAGATGCTTACAAACAGCTATAGCATATCACAAAGTCACTTTGTCTCTGCGAGTCTCTGTCGTACATCCTCCAAACTTTTTTCATCACCAATATTTGCCACAGTTAGTGACTCACTTCTTTCAGTCCTAATTATAAACTCATCCAATTCACCAGTTTAGGACATATGTTTGTAAATTAAGCTCATTAGAGAACAGAGAGAGCAGCAGTTTTATTTAAATTAGTCAACGGAGAGCTGTACTTTTTTAAGGCTGATATTTATGAGAGCATAATTAGCCAGGACTAGGCAGAGACTACAAATCTACAATCCCTTGGTAAACACTCTCCATATTTCCACAAACCAGATAAAGTTATATTAACCACTGTGAAGAATTGGGAGAAAAATGGTTACTGCATAATCAAAACTTAACATTGCTATACAAAGTAGATGATTGATCAATAGCTTGATTGATAGAGAAATAAAGTCTAAGAATTGTGATTGATTTGACCAGGTATAATTTATGACTGAGTTATAATTTGCCTTTAAACTTAAAAGAATGAGTATTATAATGCAGAAAGCAGGCAGGAAGACAACATACAGGCAAAGGAAGAAAGGAAGGAAGGAAGGAGAAAAGGAAGAGAGGGAGGGAGGGAGTGAAGGAGGGAAGGATCAGAGCTTAAGTGATTATAGCATCTACTTCCCCTGCCCACTAAGGAGAATCCATTGATATTCCCTGGATCTTTCTTTTCAAGCATACTACCTTCTCAGATACAGTGTTAGCCTATCAGATTTTGGATCTTAGTATGAAGCAGAAGTAGCTATAAAGTCGTTGAAAAAGCTAAGAGATTTATATTTAAAAGCTGATTACTTACTGGAGAGAAGAATAAATATTCAAGAAAAAAAGGAAGAAGAAGAGATTAGACAGAAGCAATGTGAGCTCTTTGAATAGAGTTTTGGAAAATTTGCAGTGGGAGAGGAGAGTCTTTATTGGTCTTTAATAAAATATTAAGAAAAAGAAAAATAGAAAAATAAAAGTATTTCAATGTAATTCTCAGGTAAATAAAAATCTGATATGTGTAAGATACTTTGGTGTTTTAAAGACTATTTCCATGAGCTTTTATTCCTAGCATTCTTGAAGGAGATTGTATATCATGGATACATTTAACATACATTTGTGCATTTAATTTCAACCTCCATCCTCATGAGCCTCTAGTTACTTTCAGGTCCTAATAAAACCACTTTAGAAACAAGATGATGGGTAAATTATTTAAACTGGATCCAGGTAGGATGCTAAATTTGATTACTAACATTAGTCTCTGGGTTTTTCACTCCATTTACTAGAAACAGTAATTTTTCCCATGATTACACAGCAATTAGTAACAAGTCTAAGTAGAAACCAAATTCCTTATTAGTTCTCCCATACTTGACTTTTTCTTTGCCTCTTAAAGAATGTCTTAAAGCAAAACACACTTTTATATGAGATAGAGATTTGTGAGAAATGGAGAGCAGAAAGGACACTGACAAGATTCATAAAATCATTACTAAGTTGCATTTTCGTCTAGAATTTTCTTTCTTTTACAATTATTTTACGAAGCTTTTACAAAGCTTTCTCGACATCTTTGTCTCATGGGTTGAAAGATTAGGAATCTATTATCACCCCAGCTCATTGCTCATGTCTCCAATCAGACTGGGAAGGGTGTTAAATTTTTCAACAACTCTTACTCCTAGCCTAAGAGAAGAAGGAGAAGACAGAGATAAAGGAGGAAGAAAATAGGAAAGGCAGCTGGGTAAACATAGACAAATGAGTGTATAGTGGAAGTCCCTTCCTCATACACCTGCTTGTAAGAAAAATCTAGCAGCTTGTTTTATACAAGTCTTTTCCTTTATTCAAAATACTCAAAGCAAAGTATTGTCTTTTGTAACCTGTTTTTAAACCTGAAAAAATTAAGGAAACAGAAGAAAGCTAAGCTGGGAAAACATTGTTCTTAAAATAAATCTAGATATGTAAGAAATTTTCTGAAGACAATAAATGATCAAAAACATTGACACTATTTTTTTTTTACTAATGATAGAAAAATAGAATTTGAGAAACAAACAAACAAAAGAAAAACAAAAGGATTTGTGATGTATGGGATCTATAGCCACTCCCATATCATCAATGCTGTATCCATGCCATAATAATGTATTATTCATCTAGTATCACCGCATCTTGTCTGAATGTTACCATTGTCCACTTTTTCAGGGTTTCTTCACTGCATTTGGATATTTTTTTATTCTGCTTACCTCCCTTTGCCATCTCCCATCCAGCATGGTGAATGATAGTCAGTAAACAACTGATAATACATTGATATTAATCAGATATTCAGACTGATCTTCTACATTGCAAGGTTTGAAAATGACTGCCAACTTTCACAGTAAGAACTTTCAAATTTTGCTGAGCTCTACATTCAGATTTTCAGATTATTTGTACAAACACTCAGTAATTTATAAACCCATTTGTTGAACTTGCCAGAGAATAAAGATGGTCTATTTTCTTCAAGTGTTTGATTATTCAAGTTGGAAGTGAAAAAAGAAAAACAATGAAGGAAGTACCCGATGCAGGTGTTAAAATTTACTACTTAATCTTACCTTTATCTAGTCTTCCAAAGACAAAGAATCCACAACAGAAAAGTCTGGCCAAGTGTATATGCATTCTGTTCCTCTGAGCATCTCTCAACTATGATGTGGAAAACACAGAAGAAAAGAAAGAAAACATAATGAGAAAATTCATTTTGTCACTAAGGATTCTTTGAAGTTGCTCATTAATCTTTTAGGCCATTTTGGCATGATAATATCCAACTCTAGAATATTAATATTGTTAAGCTAAAAAAAAGTGCAGCTCTTGCCTTTAAAGTTGTGTCTGCAACTCAGTTCTGTGATAACTCTATTTGAGTCATATTTTAATTGGCTGTGACTTTGAACTTGACTATTTCAGTACTTTGCAACGATTTTATTTTATATTACCTGGATTTTTCAAGGGACAGGTGGGAGAAAGATATACTCTTGAAAAGTGTTTAAGTCTTAGACTCATAGGACAGTTTTCCACAAGCAATCCCAAATGGGTTGGGATGAATGACTGGACTTCCATGAGTCCAAAAATGACTCATGGAAGGGGTATCTAAAATACCAATCCCATGTCCCCATTAAACACTGGGCCAGTTCTCTAATTATTAAAAACAAGAAATTTCTTTCAGTGACTAATCTTGTGAAATGAAGACTCCTCTGGGCAACTATAAGAACCTTCTTTCAAAAGAAGGTGACTGATATATTGAATGAATTTCCAGGGTAAAGAACAAAGAAGATTTAACCCAAATTTTCCTTCCTCCCTCCCTCCCTCCTTTCTCTCCTTCCTTCTTTATTTCCTTCCTTCCTTCCTTCCCTCCTTTCTTCCCCCTTCCTTCCTTTCTACTTTTTTCCTTCCTTTTGCCTGCTGTACTGATTTTATGTCACTGCTATTACAAATAGCCCAAGGCACTGGCTTAAAATAAGACAAATCTATTATTTTACAGTTCTGCCAGTTAGAAGTCCTAGCATTAAGATATTGGCTGAGCTACATTTCTTTTGGATGCTTTAGAGAAGAATCTGTCCCCTTGCCTTTTCCAGCATCTATAGGCTACCAGTATTCTTGGATTTGTGGCTGCATCACTCCAACTTTTTCAGTGTCCTTTTACACATGCCACATAAACTTCTCTGACTCAGGCTCTCCAGCCTCCTTCTTACAGAGACCGTTGTCATTACATTGGGCCCTCCCAAGTAAGCCAGGATAATCTCCCCATCTCAAGATGCTTAACTTAATCACATTTGCAGAGTCCCTTTTTGCCATGTAAAGTAACATATGAACAGGTTCCAGGAATTAAGGGGGAATTTTGCCTGCACGCTTGTGATCACACAAAGATTAACCTTTGTTCTCTCATCTCAAACATTTCAGACAAAAGCAGGTGACTTAAAGATATGAAAGTGCCTGTTAACATAGTATACTAGTTGGGCTTAGGATAATAGAAGGAGACAGAAGAATAAATTCCAAAAGATTCTTTTCTTCCTCCCTGGGTTCAAAGACTTCCTTTTTATTGATGAATTAGTGAGTGATTTCTTGCAAGTGCTAAGAATTCATTGCAATTAGTACCCTAATTCCAATCATCACTGTCACAACACAGTAAAGGAGTATCAGCTGACACAGAAACACAGGGACAAAACACAAAGAAAAAACTTGAATGGAATAGTTAGGTGTAGCTAAATGTCCTATTTATTTTTATATTCCCATGTATCATTTAAAATGTAGGCTCAATCTTTCCTAATAAACTATATAAGTGATTTTTAAATGGAATCTTAAGCAAAAAACTCCCCTAGTAGCCAAATGAATTCAGCATATAATTGCCATCAAATGTTGAATTCACAGAGTGGGTAAATCAAGTCAGAAGTAGCACTTTTAGAATGAGGCCTTAGCAAGGTGCATTCCTGTCTGACATTTGCATACACTAAAAATAATTTATTTTAATTTAGCATGTTTTTATCTTCAAGCAGACTCAGGATGAATGTCACCAATAGTTTCTACTTTATTTAATATTAGATTTACAAAAAACCCCACCTAATTTCCTTTTACATCCTGGTTATTTTTTACTATGGTACTATAATACTTATTATGAGGATGTAATAGGCCACTGTTCATGTCATATTTTATCTTTAAAAATCTACCCAATAAATAACTAGTCAAAAATACACATTGCAGTTATATTGTAATTGTTATAGTTTTAAAAGTGAGGCTAATTAAATTTTTTTCTGAAAATATCCATACTAACATTTTACAACTGAATCAATTTATTTTTAACATATGTTTGCCCCAAAGCTTTCTAAAATAATACCTGGGACACCCTAACATTAAAAACTTTCAAGAAAATGTAGAGGTGAGATGAATTTTTCAAGCGCAGAATACGTGCCTTATTTATGTGTATAGTCCTAGTACCTTCTAGAGTGTCTGTCACATTACAAATGCCTAAAAATATTCATTGAGTTGACCTTTATTGTTGATGAAAAAGGACATTTGCCAATACACACCTTAAGAGCCCATCTACTAAAACGGATCTTTTAAGTGGTTGAAAACAGAGAAGAAGACACTTAAATTTAAACCTGCGTTTCAATATTCTAGTGACTCAGTGAAATGAAATTCTGATTTATTTGATATACATTCTATAACAGACTCTATTTTTAAGAGCTCAATGCTCTTTGTGCTTATTAAAATTGTGACACCTTTCAAAAGTAAGAATGTTGACCCCAGTGCGTTAGCCAACCACTAATTGTTAACATATATTCTGTCTATCTTAAGATCCCTCCTCCCCAGCTTCCACTAAGTGGGGAAAATTCTATGCCACTTGGCAATGTTGCTGTACTCTGTTAATCACTTGTCATGTTTCACCCAAGAGATGTCAGTATTCCAGAAGCAAGCAATGTCATTCCTATAATACGTATATTGTAAATTGGTTGTCAAAGTTTTTTAAAATCCCTCAAGACCCTTCCATTTGCAAGGTGGTTTCTAAATATAGCATTATTATAAGATATTTCAGAAGTTGCTATCAGCAGCAAGATATGTTATACTTGATTTGCGCTATTGACCCACTGCTTAGTGAAAGACATCAGATGCCAAGTAAAGAACACCCGTCCTATTCGGTATAAAATGTAAGATGTTTCTTCTCAGCTATGAAGACATCAGATCATACAATGAGGTGTTTTGTCTTTGCAGTTGTGTTAGTTGAAGTGCCAGTGTTCCCTGAACTACAATGTGTGTTCCTAATTAAAATTGTCACTTTCTCAAATGTGTTCAAGGGACTGGCTTTCACCCTTAAGATGTTTTGTTTCTAAATCCTACTTGCTTTTTGTTTCAATTCAATTATGGTGTTTCTGTTTAGTTCTTGTTGTGTAAGTGCAATGATATCTACCATTAAAATTCATAGTGAATACATAACATCTGCAAAACCATTGAGGAAAATTTTCAGCCCTAGACACTTGACACCAAGGTGTTGATTTGGGTAACTACATGAAGATAAAAGAAATGTAATTGAATGCTTTATGAGACTAAGGAAAAATGGGGAAATCCTGAGTTTGTTGTTGCTGTGTCGTGTTGTTAAAAATAGTATAACTTTAATAAAAGAAAAGGAAGGGCAGTCAGACCATAAAAACTATCTAGTCCACATAACATTTTCAGTTCCCTTTTATAACATTTTCAGATAATACATTTTTAAAAACTCACTGCTACATGTGTTTTGTTCTTTTAAAGGGTTGTATAGGTCATTTTATAGTAATAAATATATGCTATTTAAAAATCAATGCATTTTCAGTGCTGTTTCTTCATTGATTGAAAAGAAAAAAAGAATGCATCCATTGGCCATAGACATATCGATAAGCTATAGTGATTGAAAACAGATAAATTATTATTTGGCATAGCTGTCAATGTTGCAAGACAATTCTTCCTGAGGCTCTCACATTCCTGTGGGTGAGGCACTGGCTACATATATTCTGTACTATCTTTCCAAAGACATTGGGCAGCAAACCGCTTTGGGAAGATAGAGATGGTGCTTCCTTCCGGAGCAAAAGCCAGGTATATTTACTGCCTGTTAGAAAAGATTCAGGTTTATGAAGCTCCCAGATCCTCTTCTATAATGAAAACCACTGCATGTGCACCTGCCCCCTTAGGATTACCCTGAGGGGATTATGGCTCAGAGGACAAGCCTCAAAATGCTGATACATTGGTTACTGTTGTTATTGGAAATAACACATTACCTGTCCCTGACCATGAAGTTTTCTATTTTCTTCAGCATTTATGAAATGATGTCAAGCTAACACATTAACTTGCACACAGGGCAAAATTTCAGACCCATCACATATTTTTTAGCCACTGGCAAAATGATGATAGAAATTACTGTGTTTCTAGTATTCCTCCCCATTTTAATCTTCATATGCTTTCCCTCGGGCATATACATTTCTTTTGCCCTTCCAAGTTCTGAAATAAGTACTAGCATGCCCTACCTTAAATGCTACCTTTTAAATTATGTTTCTTAAATTTTAAACACCTGCAAAGAAGTTTCTTCAACACAACTGACCACTCATTTCCTTGAATTCTCTCTCAGCTGATCATGTCTTCTACATCACCTCTGCCATTTGTCACCATAGTCATACACTATAGCATATCATTAGCAACAAGTTTCCATAATTTTAATTTCATGAGTTATTTTTTTATCACAATCTTCTTGGGAAAGAGTTGCCCAGTTAACTCTTTCCAATATCCCAATTCCATCAATGCCTGAACTCAGTTGGAATCTATAATCCGTTGAACCAACATCCTTTTTTTCTAAAACACTCATCTATCTCATGGCTTCTCTTTCTTATGGCTTCAGTTTAAGTTAATTGCCCAATACATATAACTCCTCTCTACATACCCTGAGCGCTTTGTCCCATCTCAATGTCTTTTTTTTTAATTATTGTATGATCGGAGTTGTTTAGAATAAGATTAGCAGACAGAGAGTCTTAGTCCTTTTGTGTTCTGGTGAATTGAGCCTGCTAGCAAAACCCAGGTGTCTTGTTTTATTGGGCCTATTGCACAGACTTTTCCCTGATGTTGCATCCCCTTTTGTTACTTTTAGAGTGGCCAATGCTCACTGCTTTTTCGGGACATCATCAAGGAGACTTTCACATGCACCTTCTAATCCTCCAGTGATACCAGAGTTAATTGTCTCTCATCTGTGCTACCCTACCAGGCATTTCTTTACTTTTAAACACTAAGTTATTGTATATTATTGTAAATGTAACTAGGTTACAAAATATTAAGCTCTCTTTTTCACATCTTTTGGCTCGTTTGAATCAACTACCTTATATTAATTTCCTAGAGAGAAAGAAATTCATCTTTTTTTAGTATTTACACTTATAACCTAATAGAAGGGAAACAATTTGAAGGGTATGGCTTTTAGAGACAAGGGATTTGCATCACAACAATGGGAATCTTGGCATAATTAATTTCAGTTTCCATATCTGTGAATGAGGAATGAGGAATACATTTTTCTTGGAGAAATATTGCCTAACAAGAATAGTTAGGATAACATAAATGAGGCAATACACATTAACCAAATTATAAAAATCCTGGTACATAGTGACTGCAATATAAACTTTCAATGAATATGATGATAACAAATTTGTTGAGCCCTCCCAAATATTTAAGCCAGAGCAGTATATGTGTTTCTGATTATCTATATTATATTAAAAATGAATATTTGAGTAGCATGCTTATCTCAGTTTCAAAACTATAAAGAGAAAAGGATATACTCTATTACACTTTCACCAGAAATGTTTATCACAGATTATATTTACTGCATTATAATTATGATTATTAGAAAATATTAATATTATGGATATTTTACTGAAAAATTGCCATATCGTATGAGCAGTCAAAACTGGATTTCTCTACTATTTTTGTTTCAGAGAAAAAATAACATTAATAACCCCAAAAATCAATTTAACACTAATTGTTCAATGTCATTTATTTTCAACAATTTATACTGGGTTTCTAAGATGCTTGTAAAATGTTGTTCAGTCAGAATAATGATTATTTATAAAGTAAGTCTGTTTTGCACAAAAAATTAAATAAAATTCATCTCGCCATAGGGTATTCAGAAAAGTGTCAAACAATTTCATGACAATTTAATTTAAAGCTTAAGCTCTGGGAAAAGAGGGAAAAAAATCTGGATGTTCTAATTATCTGAAGCTACTTTAAATTGAGAGCTGGTAATAAAAAAAAAAAATGCCAGCACAGAAGGGTCACCATTAGGGTTAAAAAATTCCATTCTTCATGAATATTAAAACTCTTAATCATTAACTTGAATTGTAGTTGAACTAATACAAAATACTAACTCAAAATGCCCTATATTGTATGTTTAGTCAAATGAATTTTTATCCCTTTAAAATTATGGAAATTAAGAAGAATTTTGTCAGTGTCTCAGGCACTTGTCAGTATACCCAGTGATTTATGACTGTGACGGTGTCTCCACATTCATGTTGCCTTAGTACTAAAAATTTACATTTCGTATCTCCACGAAAAATAATCCATGATTAACCTTTATTCTCAGAAAAAAAATCTATCCTTAAGAACACATTTTATCTAGAAATGAAAACACCTAAATTATAGATTTATTTCTTTTTTGTTGTTGTGCAATAAGTTACACTGACTGTAGTAGATATCTTCCATTCATAAGGGATAAATTTTCTGCAAAACAATAATAAAAGCACATTTGAATGATAAAATTTATATCAATCTGATAATAATTATCATTTACAATAGAAAAATTAAAATGCCTCAGAAGTACTGGCTATAAAAAATTCAAAAGAAACATATCATGAAGGAAGGTATAATATATGATATTTCTGAATATGGTCTTCCCTGAATACTTACTTTATTATTATTTACTAGTATACATTTATTTATTTTAGCTAATCACGTTGTAAATGCTTCTGTAATTTTTTAAAAGTCTGTATTTTTGCCAATAATTTCATAGAAAATTTGGCACCATTAGAGATGCTATTAGAGTAATTAGGGAATGAAAATCACTAGAGTTATCATGCAAATCTGTTTGACTTTATTTTTAAAAGTATGAAATGCAAATGGCTAATACAGTTCATTATAGATTCCTTTGAGGTGTTTAAGTTAAATTAGCATGAGACAGTCACTCACGTATATATTGTTGAAAGTATTTTTCTTGAATAATGCAATAAATATGAAATACCATTATACCTATGGCAAAAAAAGAAAGGATAAAGAAATTGGGCCTCTACTTTCCATGAGTTATCCTAATTTCTTTGGATGTGTTATTTTATTTTAATATTTTACTAGCATGGGAGCATTATCAGAAAGATGCAATTAGTGTGATTGTTTCCTGAAATATAAAGCTATAATGATATCCCAAATTTACAGTCATTATATTTTTTTCATTGGCTTGAGATATTCATGATTGAGAAGTACCAAGTCTCTAATGGTGCATTCTTTTTATATTTATAACAGCCCTTTACATTTTTCACAGCCCTGATAATTCTGAGATATACTTAGCAATTTTACAGCTTTTTTTGCTATATTATTGACATATAAGAAACCTCACATATTTAACTTGTAGTATTTGACACAATTTTGCACATGTGTGCCATCATCCTAGTCAAAATATTGAATTATATCCATTAACCCAAAAGTTTCCTCATGCCCGCCACTCCCCAACCCCATCCCTACACAGCTACTGAATTGCTCTGTGTCATTATAAATTAGACGGTGTTTTCTAGAATTTTATAAAAATTGAAAGGTAAAATGTGTACCTTTAAAAATCTGACTTCTTTCACACAGTGTAATTAGTTTTTTATTTGTTCATGTATTTTGCATGTAGAAATGATTCACTGATTTTTATTGCTGATTAATAATTAATTGTATGGCTATAGCACAAATTAGTTACCTGTTCACCTGATGATGGACATTTGAGTTGTTACCCAGTTTGATGGTACTACAAGTTAACATTGCAATTTTGTAAACCTTCATGTTCCAGTCCTTATATGGAGATGAACTTGCATTTCTTATGGTGTTTTTTCTGTCCCGCTCCAATTTCTGAATTTGCATTTTTCTTGGAGAAATATTGCCTAGGGCAAATTAGTTTGTAAAAATCAGTATCAATATATAAAATTAATTGTGTTTCTATATGATAGCAATGAAAATCAGAAAATTTTTTTTTTTAAATAACACAATTTACAGTAAAATTATTTGGGTTAAATCTGACAAAAGATGTGCAAGATCAGTACACTAACAACTGCAAAATATTGTTGAGAGAAATTAAAGAAGGTAAGTAAATGGATAGATAGACTGTATTACGGATTAAAGATTCAATATTGCTAAGGTGCTCTTAAATTGAACAATAGATTCAACAAAATTCCAATCAAAATGTCAACAGTTTTTTTTCTTTTTTGGTAGAAATTGAACAACAACAACAAAAAAAAGCTTCTTTAAAAAAGAACCTTACAACTTACGTGGACGACTTACGTTGCCTAATTTCACGATTTTATTATAAAGCTACAGAAATCAAGACAATGTAGAGTTGATGTCAAGATTGACAACTCAATCCGTAGAAAGGAATAAAAAGTCCAGAAACCAATCTGTGGTCAACCAATTTTTCATAAAGGTAAAACAGTAATTCAGTGGGAAAAGGAAAGTGATTTCAATAAATGGTGTCAGAACAAAAAGTAAACTTTAACTTATACCTTGAACCATAAACAAAAAATAAGTAAAGATGGATTATAGATTTAAATGTAAAACTTAAAATTCTAAAACTTCTATGAGAAAGTAGTGAAAAAAATCATTATCCATGTAAGTTGTAAGGTTATTTTTTAAAGTTATTTTTGTTTGTCAATTTCTATCCAAAAAAATCCTTCTGACATTTTGATTGGAATTCTGTTGAATCTATTGTTCAATTAAAGAGTACCTTAGCAATATTGAATTTTTGATCCATAATACAGTGTATCTACCCACTTATTTACCTTATTTAATTTCTTTCGCTTTAGCTGGGCAATAATTTTTTAGATAGGAAACCAAAAACATGATTTATAGAAATCAATTTAAGTTAAAAGAGTTGAATATTCTAAATTCAGAATATTAATCAGTTTAACTTAAAATCATCTCAAGATAGAGTGAGTAGAAGGAAGGAAGAGAAAATAGAAGCATGAAGGAGGGAAAGAAAAAAGATTCAGATATTGTAGTATTTCTTAGGCTTAGAGTCTATAAATAAATTGTACATTATACCTAAATACAAATAAAATTAATATAAATGAAATAATAATTAAATGGTTTCATTGGAAAAATCACATATTAAGAGTAAGACTATAAAAAGATTATGCTATTCTTAATTGTTGTAGAAATTCATTAACTCCATGTATCGTCAATAAAGTTTACAGCTATATTTTTCTAAACTTTAATTTTTTTTTTTTTTTTCACCAGACAGTGTCTTTGTCACCCAGGCTGGAGTGCAGTAGCATGATCTTGGCTCACTGCAGCCTCAACTTCTGGTTTCAAGCAATCCTCCCGCCTCAGCCTTGTGAGCATCTATGACCACAGGCATGGCCACCACACCTTGCTCATTATTTCTACTTTTATTTTTCTAGAGACAGGATTTCACTATGTTGCACAGGCTGGTCTTGAATGCCAGAGCTCAAGCTATCCTCTTGCCTGAGCCTCCCAAAATGCTGAGAATATAGATATGAGCCACTGCGCCCAGCCCTAAACCTAAAAGTCAATTATATTGACATATAATGAAACATCATAAACTGCACATATTTAAATTATATAATTTATTAAATTTGGACATATAAATACACCTATGAAATAACCACCACAGTCACAATTTTAAAAATAATTTCATCACCCATCATACCTTTCTTTAATCTCCTTCCTCCCCTCAAACCTACCCCCAGGCAAAACTATTTCATTTTCTGACATTATGGTTTACTTTGAATTAAATAAATTATGTTGGCTGGGCGCAGTGGCTCACGCCTGTAATCCCAGCCCTTTGGGAGGCCGAGGCAGGTGGATAACCTGAGGTCAGGAGTTTGAGACCAGCCTGGCCAACATGGTGAAACCATCTCTACTAAAAAAAAATACAGAAAATTAGCCGGGCATGATGACATACACGTGTAATCCCAGCTACTCGAGATGTTGGGGCAGGAGAATCGCTTGAACCCCAGAGGTGGAGGCTGCAGTGAGCCGAGATGTCGTCACTGCACTCCAGCCTGGATGCCAGAGCGAGACTCATCTCAAACAACAAGCAAACAAACAAACATATTTTGATGGAAACATGTAGCATGTATACTTTTTTAGACTCAATTTCTTCACTCAGTATAGTAATATTGAGTTTAACCGATGCGATTGATATATACCAATATTAACTTCCTTTATACTGTTAAGTAGTATTTGATTATAAGGTATGACATAATCTGTTTATCCATTTATCTGTTGATGAACATTTGGGTTATTTTCAGGTTTTGATTATTACAATTTTTATATGGACTTTTTGTCTTATTCTTTGTTTTATTCTGTAATATTATATATATATGCATAGAGTGGCTGGTTAGTATGAAATACCTTTTTTTTAATGTTGTAAATCAGTTTTCTAAAGCAGCTGTGCCATTTTACAATTCCGTCACTACTGTATGACAGTTCCAGTTGGTTTGTACTCTCACTAACACTTGGTATGATCAGCTATCTGTTAGCCAATCCAATGGGTGTGTCTTATTATATGACACATTATAAATTTTTTTATTATACTTTAAGTTTTAGGGTACATGTGCATAACGTGCAGGCGTGCAGGTTTGTTACATATGTATACATGTGCCATGTTGGCGTGCTGCACCCATTAACTCGTCATTTAACATTGGGTATATCTCCTAATGCTATCCCTCCCCCTTCCCCCTACCCCACAACAGGCCCTGGTGTGTGATGTTCCCCTTCCTGTGTCCATGTGTTCTCATTGTTCAATTCCCACCTATGAGTGAGAACATGCGGTGTTTGGTTTTTTGTCCTTGTGATAGTTTGCTGAGAATGATGGTTTCCAGCTTCATCTATGTCCCTACAAAGGACATGAACTCATCCTTTTTTGTGGCTGCATAGTATTCCATGGTGTATATGTGCCACATTTTCTTAATCCAGTCTATCATTGTTGGACATTTGGGTTGGTTCCAAGTTTTTGCTATTGTGAATAGTGCTGCAATAAACATACGTGTGCATGTGTCTTTATAGCAGCATGTTTTATAATCCTTTGGGTATATACCTAGTAATGGGATGGCTGGGTCAAATGGTATTTCTAGTTCTAGATCCCTGAGGAATTGCCACACTGACTTCCACAATGGTTGAACTAGTTTACAGTCCCACCAACAGTGTAAAAGTGCTCCTAATTCTCTACATCCTCTCCAGCACCTGTTGTTTCCTGACTTTTTAATGATTGCCATTCTAACTGGTGTGAGATGGTATCTCATTGTGGTTTTGATTTGCATTTCTCTGATGGCCAGTGATGATGAGCATTTTTTCATGTGTCTTTTGGCTGCATAAATGTCTTCTTTTGAGAAGTGTCTGTTCATATCCTTCGCCTACTTTTTGATGGGGTTGTTTGTTTTTTTCTTGAATTTCCTGTAAAATTAATTCAAGATGGATTAAAGACTTAAATGTTAGACCTAAAACCATAAAAAGGCTAGAAGAAAACGTAGGCAATACCATTCAGGACATAGGCATGGGCAAGGGCTTCACATCTAAAACACCAAAAGCAATGGCAACAAAAGCCAAAATTGACAATTGGAATCTAATTAAACTAAAGAGCTTCTGCACAGCAAAAGAAACTACCATCAGAGTGAACAGGCAACCTACAGAATGGGAGAAAATTACTGCAATCTACTCATCTGACAAAGGGCTAATATCCAGAATCTACAATGAACTCAGACACATTATAATTTTAATGAGATATCTCATTGTTTTAACTTGCATTTCTCTGAGTGGTGATAGTGGGCATCATTTTATATGTTTATTTGCTATGAATATATCCTATGAAGTGTCTGTTCAAATTGCTTCTCCATTTGTTAATTGGTTTGTTAGTTTTATTATTGAGATGCAAGTTTTTTATACATTCATATTACATGTCCTTTAATTTATGTGTAGTGAATATTTTCTTCAAGTGTGTTGCAGTCTTTCTGTCTTCTTAGTAGTGACTTGAAAAGCAAAGTTTGAAAATTTGAATGATGTCCAGGTTATCAATTTTTCTTTCCTTGTTTTGACCAAAATACAACATGTTGACTCTGATGAAAGTCACAAAATTTTTATTCTATGTTATCTTCTAGAATTTTTACAATTCTAGGTTTTATGTTTAGATCTATTGTCCATTTTGATTTAACATTATATACTGTGAGGTAAGGATGGATGTTCATTTTGTTCCTGCATAGCTATTGAGTTCATTCTCCATCATTCATTTTGAAGATTTTTCTTTCCCAATTAAGTGCCTTTATCAAAAATTAATATACCATATATGTTTGAGTCTATCTACATTTCTATCTAAATACAAATATAAAACCTAAAATCAGATAGGATAAGGCCCACAAATTCGCTCCTCTTTGTAAAAATTGCATTAGTATTAAAGACATGTTGCATTCTTATATAATTTTTAGAATCAGCTTTTCAATTTCTAGAAAACAAGTACTGCTGTAATTTCAACTGAGATTGCACTGAATCTATAGATCATTTTGGCCAAATTTTTCATCTTGACAATATTGGGTCTTCCAATCCATATGTATGGTACATCTCCCCTTTTGTTTAGGTCATTAGTTTCTCTCTGCAATTTTTCACAGTTACCAGTGTGAATATTTTGGACATGTTTTGTTAGATTTATTCCTGAGTGTTTTAGATGTTTGGGAACTACTACTGTAAGCTGATTTTTTAAATTGTGTTTTTAATTGTTTACTAAAAATTGTTTTGCAGATTGTCTAGGATTTCCCACATAAACAGTCACATTTGTCTGAAGACAGAGATAGTTTTAGGCTTTCCTATACGAATTTTTTCCCTATATATAAAACTAGGCCATCCTGAACCAGCATTGTTTCTTGGTCCCCAATGTCATGGGAACAATTAAATCTTTTCATCATCAAATATATTGTTAGCCTTAGATTTTTTTTCTTGCATGCGCACTATCAACTTGAGGAAATTTGCTACTATTTGTAGTTTGCTGAGAGTTTTCATTATAGATGTATGTTGACGTTTTAAAATATGTTTGCTACACCTATTGAAATTCTTTTATTTTTCTCTTTTATTCTATCAATATGGTAAATGACATTAATACCAAACATACATTCCCAGGATAAAATACACTTGGTAATTATGTATTTTACTGTTGAATTTAGCTTCCCAATATCTTACCAAGGTTATTTGCAGCTGTTTTCATGATGACTATCAATTTATAATTTCCTCTTTTGTAATTTTTTAGTCATGTTTGGTACTATGGGTTATGCTGGCATCATAACTCTACGTAAACTAAATTAGACAGTGAATATACCTCCTCTGTTTTCTAAAAGGCTTCTGTAAGATTAATGTTATTTCTCTATGATGTTTGATAGAATTCACCGAAGTAACCACCTAGGTCTGACCTTTCTTTTGGAGAAGGGTTTTAGTAACAAAGTGAATATCTTTATTAGCAATAGGGCTATACAGATTTGGTGTTTATTCTTGTATCAATTTTGGTAAGTTATTTTTCAAGAAATTTATTTATATCATTGAAGTCATCAAATTTGTTGGCATAAACTTGACCATACTCTCTGTTCATTATTTGGTTAATGTCTGTAGGATCCATTGGTGAAATCTTTTTCTCATCCATGTATTGGTGACTTATGTTCTCTCTTTTGGTTGTGTTCAGTACAGCTACAAGTTTGTCAGTTACATTGACCTTTTCACAAAACCAACTGTTTTTTTTCCTCTGGTTTTTTATTTTATTTTATTGATTTCTACTCTTAATAATTGTTTCCCTTGTCTTAGCTTTGGTTTTCTTAATCTACTTTTTTCTATTTCTTTCAATAAATAAACTTAGTTCATTGACTTTGCATGTTATTTTAACATAAGCATTTAAATATATATCTTTCTCTCTAAGGAATGTTATAGCTGCACCCTCGAATCTTTATATGTTGTATTTTCATTACCATTCAATTCAAAATTAATCACCCTTGTCATTTGGTATTTAACTCAGGAATTATTTAGAAGTGTGATGTTTAATATTCACATATTGTAATTTTCATAAATATTGTATTATTTATTTGTTAATTATGTTAAGATCAGAAAATATACTCTGAAATACTTAAACCACTAGGTGTTTATTGAGGATTGTTTTTTGCACCAGGAAATGCTCTATTTTGGTGAATAGCATGTACACCTGAAACAAAAGTAAATTCTTTCTTTTTGCAGTCATTTGAAGTAGTTTCCTATGAATATCAGCTGGGTAAAATGTTTGATACTGTTGTTCAGCTCTTCCAGCATATTACATTTTTACTAGTTTATCTGACACATTTGCAGAGAAGAATGTCAAATGTACTAAAATTATAGGTTTTTGTATTTCCGTTTTTAATTCTATAAATTTTTGTTTTACGTATTTTGAGGCTTTATTATTAGATTTATTCAGCTATATGTGTTATGTCTTGCTCGTGTATTGTTTCTTTTATAAATGTGCTTCTTTTTCAGTCTGTTGAAATCCTTTGTCTTGAAGTCTCTTTTATTGGATACTAAAATATTTACTCCAACCTAATTATATTTGTAGTTTTTATAATAAATCTTTTTCTATCCATTTATTTCAATGTATCTGTTCTTCAAGTTTAAAGTGAATACCTTCCTAATAATATATAGAATAGTCTTGAATTTTTATCCATTCTGTCAAGGTCTGCCTTTTAACTGAGGAATCTAGACCATTAACACTTAATGTAATTAGTAATATGGTTAGATTTAGTATATCTATAAAATATATTATATATACATATATTATATATATAACATATATATTACATATATAATACATATATATATATATTCCTCTAGCATTTCTTATGCCAAGGCAACTTGAGGACAAATCCCCTAACCTCCCAACCATGTTTCACTGCTGCCTAACCTCCTTGAGCTATGACTTCTTTCACTAAGGGAAAATAATGTTTCTTTCTCCTTTAAGTTAGTTACTTTCATTCTTTTCAATATTTCTTGGCAAATATTTTGTACCTCTTCATTATTCTAAAAGCCATATAAATGCTTTCCAGTTTGTATATGTTACCTTTAAAGTGAAGTCCTCAAAATTCAGTGTAATTCAATGAATTTAATGTAATTCAACCCAGAGCATTATGGTATTTCCTGATTCTCAATATTACAAGTTAAAGTAGACCAAATAACCATTCATTTTTGTTGGGGTCACATCATGCTGTTTACTCACATTTAGCTTCTTGAACACTAAAATCTATAGTGGCTAACAAGTAATATGGTATCTAATGTAGATATCATATCTTGGAGCAAGGTTGGAGCCTCAGCTGAGGCGGTGGCTGAGGGCAGCTTGGCACTGGCCTGCGGGTACCCTTTGGAGCAAGCAGCCTGGGCCCCATGGGGCAGCAAGAGGCAGATGGCCTCCTGGGCAGAGTGGGCAGGTCCCCAGAGGCCCCACTTTCAGGCCAGCAAGTGGCCTGAAGGCTGGGGACCCGGCTGCCAGTTCCAATGTACATACCATATTACTTGTTATAGGTAACTTGTTAAATTCCAAAATTTGGGTTATAAAATGTGTAATCTTTCCACTGTGTTATTGATGGCAGCGGTGGGCCATCTGGAGTGGGGGGTGCCTGGGAGGTGGCTGCAGGGGCGGCTGCAGGAGCAGCAATGGCACTGATGGGTCCCCGATGCCCCGTGTCCCCGAGGCAGCCAACTGTGCCACCCCAACACTTCCGTGGCTGGGTGGGACCTGCCCCCAGGCCCAGAGCCTCCGCAGCTGGAGACCCTGGCCCCACTTCGCTACTCCAGTAGGAGGCGTAGCTGGGTCTGTGCTTCAGGGACCGGGGTGGGAAGTGAGAGCAGCACCCACTTCGGACCCCACCCGCTGCATAGTCACTGCACCCATCCCGCCAAGGGTGCTGGGTTCCTGCACCCTGGGAGGAGGCTCTGCACAGGGCCGCCCCTGAATACCGGAGCCATGGGGGGACGTTGTTCCTGCCCTGCTGGCCTAGGCCCAGAGAGGACCTTAAGCCCTTGCCCCAGGCTGCGAGGGGACACTGCCGGGCCTGCACATGCCACGGAGCCTGTGGGAGCCGGGAGCAGGCAGGATCTCCAACCCCCTGGGCGTAGCTGCAGCTGCCCAATTTGCGGCTGTGGACCCGAGCCTCTCTGCACTCTTGGAGGCTCAGGAAGGCCCCCCCTTGCCCTTGCAAGCTCAGAGGTGTATGCTTCTGCTGCCTGGCCTTTCCCTGCGCCTGGCGCCCGCTCTGATCTTGGAGCAGGGCTGGGGCCTCAGCCGAGGTGGGGGCTGAGGGCAGCTCGGCACTGGCCTGCAGATACCCTTTGGGGCAAGCAGCCTGGGCCCATGGCTTCTTCCGCCTGCCCATGGCTACCCATGGACAAATTGGCAGACACTTCCTCCCTTCTGAGGGCCAGAAAAGTCCCAGGCTGAGACAAAGCAGAGCAGAGGACAGAGAGACAACAGGACAACCAGCTGCAGAGAGGAGGAGAGGAGCTACCCCCCATGCCGAGAGCTGCAGACGATGGGACAACCTGCCTGCATGGAGGAGCCGCTCACTCCATGGCCTCCTCTCTGCCAAGAGCTCCAGAGAATGGAATGACCAGCTACATAGAGGACCTACTCTCTCTGCTGATAGCTGAACACTTGTCGGGAAGAACAGCTGGAGAGAGGAGCTACCCTCTCTTTTGAGAACTGAACACTTACTGGGACGACCTGCCTAATGGGGAGCTACCGTCTCTGCTAGGAGCTAAACACTCATCGGGATACCCTGGCTGTGGAGAAGAGCCGGCCATTGTGTGTCTTCTCTAAGCTGTCCCATTGCTTAATAAAGCTTCTCTTCATCTTGCTCGGCCTTCACTTGTCTACATACTTCATTCTTTCTGGTCGCAGAGCAAGCACTTGGGACCCACTGAATGGCGAGGCTAACATGCCCCTTGTTAACCACCTTGGAAGAGAAGAGGAGAGAAGAGCTGCAGCCCTTTGGGGAGCCCAGACCAGGGAGATCCCTGAGACAGGGCTGTGACTCCCTCTTTGGGGCCCTGTGGTTCCTGGCATCTCCAAGCTTCCGGGCACCACAGCATTCCCCAGTCCAGCCAGGGAAGCTGCTTGTGATGCGCCACATCCAGCAACCATGCCAGCACCTGGGGCTGCCCACGCTAGGACAGCAGCTGGCATTTGTGACTGCGAAGTAGCCGGACCCCACGCTTGCTCACACACCTCTGGCCACTCCACACCTGTTTCGCAGTCTCCCTTAGAGGCACAGGATCCAGGCTGCTAGTGTGAGCTGAGCACAGACTGCCAGGCCGAGTGGATGGAACAAGCCCAGCACACCTAAGCAAAACTAGGGCAAGGCGCCACTAGCCACAAGTTTCCGAGAAAAGCAGCACCCCAAAGATTCCATAACATTATCATTCGTTTGGAGATTTTATTTGTATAATTTTACAGTCCAAGCCATTTTCTACATCTCTGATCATGGTGTCTAAGACCCAGCAGCAAAAAAGCAGAAGTACCAAAACATTCTCATTACCAGCACATTCTCCAGTAATGTTATCCTTTATGTCATTGAATCTACCTGCAAGAAGTATGAGGTAATATTTGTTATTACATGCAATGACTTCCCACCAGGTGTCATTTTAAGTATTAGATCATATCTGGGACTGAGGAAGTAACTTTTCCAATTTGCGATTGCCAACAATCTCCTGACACATTCTAACCAATTTAAAAAATGCTCTCCAATGTTTCTAGGTGTTCACAAAACTTTCCTTTATGATTGTATTCTGTAATATCTATCTTATAATCCATGGTATGTTCTCTGAGTCATTATTTTAAAAAAATACTTTTTTCATTTCAATCTTCCATAATCGTTCCTGCCTTCCACTTTCTGCAAAAATTATCATCACTATTTTTTAGGTACTTAGGATATAAAGTTATTAGTTATATACAGATGCATACATATTGTATGTAATATCTTTTTGCTTTGAAATTAGTTATGTTTCAGTGACTAAATATGCCCCCCAAACAAATCTCATATTTTATTCTCTAGTCTATTTTCTTCTGGGAGCGAGAAGAAATAAAACTCAGGAATATATGAGACATTTTCAAAATACATTCAATCAATAACATTGATTTGCACCCAAATTTAAAATTAGAGTTAATGCAATGAAAGAGAGGGAAAGCAAAGTTATCAAACCAGTAACCAATGTTTTATTGATAGTTGCTTTTTTGGTATGTCGTTTTATGATTTATCAGTATATCTTTATTCATAATGGGGATTATGGTAGTATTCATAATTAAATGGTTTTTCCTTTATATATTTGAGAAAATAATATCCAACTTAGTCCAAAATGTTTATATATTCATAGGGATAGATGATTGAAATAAAGAGTTTATCCAAATTATAGCAGGAAGAGGACTGTGCAGTGATTCTTCTCTATTTGCAGCAATATGGTAATTATATTAATGAAATAATACAATAAATCACAAAGTTATAGCATGATGATCTGCCAGGGAATGGTGTAGAACTAAAATGAATACCAAACAGACTCATTATGTAAAAAATGGAGATAGCTTTATGATTGTATAATGATCTTCATTATAACTTTTAGTTGCAAAGTATTAACAGGTAATATTTTCTATTACTTTATGATATTTGATACATAAATTTACTTTTCTTCTTTCCTGATAGGCAGATTTACTCATTTTCTAGGATCCATAAAGTAAACAAAATCTCCCCTTAAAAAATAAAAGAATAAACAGAAAAAACTAAACCCTCTGGTCATGTTACTCAGATGCTTCCTTTCAGGAATTTATCTAGGCATACATAATGGTATTTATTCAAATATTTTAGCTCGATAAGCAAATACTATGTAAATGCAAATACTGCTATACTTGTCATTTTTCTCAGAACTCTAGGCACAGTCTCCTTAGAAACATAATTAAAATTTGCATACTCTTATTAAATGAAACTATTTGAAGGAAGTCATTTGGTGGCTCTCAAAATAGAACTTTGTTTTCAGAAATAGTTTATGAATGTCATTTAACGCATCCCCAAGGCTTCAAAAAGAAAATGTCAAGGAACCTCCTGCAGGATATCTTCCTAAAATTCCCATGTGTCATCTTGGTTTTGCAAAGCATGTTTTAAAATGAAGAACATGACTATATTCACAATTGGAAATCAACAACAGGACCTAGGAGGATCTGCATTGGATAAATTGTGTGTGTGCTTGTGTTTGCAATGCATATGTATGTGTGCAAACATATATTGGCCAAAGGGGCTACTTATGAGCTGAAGACAATTGAAAGCAAGATCAGTGACCTTACATTGTAACCTTTCTACACACTCAGGGCCAATTGCAATATTACAAAGTACAAGACCTGTTAAAAATTGGCACCTGACTTGAAAGTCAGTGAAGGAAGGAAGGAAGGAAGGAAGGAAGGAAGGAAGGAAGGAAGGAAGGAAGGAAGGAAAGAAATGAAAGAAAGAAAGAAAGAAAGAAAGAAAGAAAGAAAGAAAGAAAGAAAGAAAGAGGAAGGAAGGAAGGAAGGAAGGAAGGAAGGAAGGAAGGAAGGAAGGAAAAGAAAGAAAGGAAGGAAGGAAGAAAAGCAAGCAGAGGGGCAGTAAGTGAGCTCAATAAAAGGTAAACATACTTTCAAGGTGGTTTCAAATTCCCAATCTTTATCTATGAAAAATTGCTTAATGTAGCAAACTAGAGGGCTGTGGCCCATGACCTGGTCAGCAGAAAAGTTGCACTGTTATAAAAGAAACATAAACATGGTGTCTTTTAAGACTTAAAGTGTGAAAAGGAACTATTTTATCTGTAACTAAGAAAAATATAGTCTAGTAAAATGGTTTTCCCCAATGTATTCCCTCATTGCACAGTGGAAACATAGCATTATACATACAAAGAGAGAGGGAGCTTTGTTACTGCTTCAAACACTTTTTCCACAAAACTGAAAAGAAGGAAATAGAGTGATATTGGGTTCTGTGTAGCACCCTGATAGTTCCTATGAGTTTCACAAAGCAAGCAGGTGTATATATTTAGCCCACTTGACAATTTAGGCAAACATGTAGCCATGACTACATTTACAAAATGGTCCCTTGCTATATTTCCTAGTCATCACATAGGCACAATTTAACTGAGTTCTAAAAACAAAATATTTAGAGAGCTTTTAATCAGGTAAAAAGAGGGTAAAATGGGAAGGAAAACCCACAGTATAGAAAACAGATATAGATAAAGGAATTAAGTAAAAAGGTTTACAAGAATTTTAAATGTGAAAACTGATCCGCAAGAGAATCAGACAACTTAATGAAGATGCCTTTAAGTAATTACAGAAATTCTACATATAAATAAACATAGGGTTTTTCCAACTCCATGTTGCATCATATTGTTCAGTTTGCAAAGTAATTTTGTGTGCTGTACTTTGAAAAAGTCCAAAGAATGACTATTCAAGACTTTGAGTTATGAGTTATGAGTTCAAGATATTGAACCAGAGTTATGTAATGACTATCTTTGCTTTTTGAATATTTAAAAACAGTGGTATACAAAAGGAATCTGCATAATTTTCTCTGATTTTCTAGTCAAATATTATTAAAGAGAAATAAAAAATCTATTCATTGGCAATGCCAGACGAACAATCAGAATCCCCTTAGCTGATGTACAGTAGTGCCATTCAATATAAATATAATGCAAGCAACAATCATTTATAAAAAAAAGTAATAACTTTGAAAAAGTAGAGATTTGTGAAATAAATTTAAATGATATATTTCATTAAATAAAATATATTCAAAATATTATCATCTATTTCAGAATATTTTATTTCACCATGAAGTGAATGTATATTAGTTTCAAAACTGTCTGTCCAAGTAATATCAGTAACACTTGTGTCAACTCAGTATTATCATCGTTGAATTCAAAGGATATTGAGTAAGTTGAAAAACAATTCTAAATGTATTGAAATCAATAAATGTTCTTCAAATTTTTTCTATAGCTTTCTTAGTCAATTTATTTAACACTATTTGGTTACCATTTAAATCTTCTGCATATAGATTTATAGTAGAAAATGTATAAAATCTTTATTATTTGGTTTGTATATGAAAAATTTGAATGTCAACATAAATTCTCATAACAATCTAGCTAGGTGGCAGATGAGTTCTCCTTTCCTTGGAGTGCCAAATTTAGCTTTTTTATATATAGGGTGATACCAATGAGAGAATGTAAATAATGCTGGTATTATCTTTCTGTCTATGATTATTGAATATTTGGCAATAATTTCTTTTGTTGTAATAGGAATCTTGAAATGAAAACAAGAGCACAGTAATTTGTTTTAAAACATTTCCATAGTTCAATCAACAAGCATTGGTTTATTGGTAGTCATGACGCTTTCCTAGGATCTGCCTCAGAACACTGAGCACCAACATTTTGATATCTATCACATGGTAGAATTAAGCAATAAAAGAAATATCCATCTCTTGTTTTAAAATTCCAATAAATTTGGATTATTCTTAACATAACTAGGATACTGTCCTTCATAATAGAATTAATTTATTTTTCAAATCCAGGTAAAATACTTCTTTGTTAAGTGTAGAAGATTCTACAAATTTGAGTTTTAGGCTGCAAATTAACATTTCACCAATATTTGTAAGTCCTCTAAGACAAAATACAACCAAAATATTCATTGAGTCACGTCTCTTATATAGCATGACTCATTAGATATTTGCAATATTTTAAATTGTTGGAGCAATTGATCTTTATATGTTAGGAAAGATTTTAACTCATAAGCAAATGTTATTGATGGCTTAATTGTAGATCTGTCACTTCTTAAAAAACCTCAATTTTACTCTTTTACTTAAAATTTTGTTTTAAGAAACTTATAAAGTAATAAGTTGCTATCTCTTCACCTAAAAATGTGTGTGTTTGCATAGGTACTCTGTGTGTATGTACTCACGCAAGAATCTAAGCCATTTTATAGTCAGCCAGAGTTGAAAGATCAGATTCTGTTAATAACCATTTAAAATATTTTGTTACAAATTTAATTTTTATTTCTTTTGAATAATTTCATTGATTCTTTTTTATTATTAAGACAAAATATATCAAATTCCCTATTTGCTGAAAATCACTCCAATTGTTTACTTCATTACTATTCTTTTTTTCATTAAAAAACAGCTTTTACATTTTGTTCTGTAGCAAACCAAACTGCCATTTATTATGAAATCTGTAACATACCTCTTACCGAGTCTTTTTCATTTATTTTTTTCCAGTTGGATCTGCCAGTCTCAGCATTTCCACTTGATTCTGCATCAGTATTGCATCATTATTCTAAATTAATTGTAATTGTTCAAATAATTCAATTACGGTATAATTAAAATAACACTAAGTACCTCAATTTTATTACTAATTTTGATTTACCTAAGTATCATTAGTATCACTATAACTGTCTGCATAAGATATTCAATTAAACATATTACAATATTAAATAATCATTTAAATGAATCAATCTGTTGATACCAACTAGATTAGCTGTGTGTTCATGTGTAATACAAAAAATGATACAGGTAGCCAAATGTACACTGCAAAACAACAATAATATTTATGTGATGCAATGGATAAATAGTAGTCTTACCAAAACTCTAGTTATGTTTGAAGGAAAAATATTCCTTCTTTTTTCACATTTCAATGTATTAAAGCAACATAAAATTTAAAAATACCTGTCTCAAGTTCGGTAATTACATTTCAAATGTTTTACAGTCATATGTGACTAGTGGCCACTGTATTGGACAGCACAGATATAGAGGCTTAACAGAGTACATAAAATATAATTATCATTTTCTAGACCGACAAATAACAAAAAGCACATATTGAGTAAGTTAAAAATATTAATCAAATAAGATAAACTAAATATGTTTTGTTTTAGTCAATATTTACCCTTGTTTGGAGGGGGAGAAATTTTAGGGATTATTTGACTTTTGCATAGGTACTTTAGAAAAGTTTTACGATACTATTTTAATGTAAATGAATTTACATTTGTTGAAATGATTAATATATACTTAATTATATTTCTATCACTAAGCAATATTATTTTCTTCTCAAGGAGTCACTGTTCCTATTTTATTGTTTCTTATTATTTAACACCTAGCTCACATTTTTCTTCCTCTGAAGCAGATTAACCTGCAGTTAAGGTGCATAGGCTCTGATGACCATCATAGTTCAAAGCCTGGCTTCAAATCTATCCGTGTGACCTTAGAAAAACTTCATAATCTTTTTCAATTGTAGTTTCTCATGTCTCAAACTGGTATAATAAGAAATCACAGCTTGTCAGGTGGTTATGAGAATTCATGAAGCTAATATACATAAAGCACATGACATGGTGCCGGGAACACACATGCTCAGCAAATGCCTCCACTAATATGTCATCCCATTCCCACAACCCCAGTTTCCTCCCTCTCTATGGAAGAGTTATCCACTAAATTCCCCAGAGCCAGAGTAATAGTATTGCCATTTGGTTGAGCTCATGATACAGAATTGAGAATAAGATGGTCGGGTTTACATTCATTTCCACCTCCACAAGCCATGTAATAAGGACAAGTTACACAATCTCTCCAAACTTTACTTCCCCTGTCCAGAGCATTATGATAACTAAATCTACCTATTAGAAAATTAAACAATAAAATATATAAAAGTCATTCAGTAGAAATGTCTTACACATCATAATTAAAAATATTACTTTTCTAATCTTCAATACTAAATTTTTTATGTTCACATAAATATCACATAAAATAAAATAGTGGTTTATCTAATTTTATTATGTGAATGACACTTATCCCAAATCACTCAATATATGTGATTTTTGTCTCAGGTAATAAATTATTTTGTGGATGAATTATTTAAGATGAAGGAATGAAATATCAAGTTTACATAAATTATGTGTGTCTAAAATATTAGCATCAAAATAGTTATTTACAATATATGATTTGAAACTAGTTTCTAGCTTTTGTGGACATAAAATTAAGTATTATGTTTTTTGCCCTTCAGAGTTCTATACTTTGGGATGCTAGATATATGCTCATGAAAGTTAGAAATGAAAAAGGTCAATATTAAATCTATAGTGCAGATTACAACCTGGAGAAAATGTTCCCAAATTCCAGGAGGAAGAATTAAATATAAAACAGATATCAAACCTCTACATCACAATAGCCTTTACCAAATGTCCTCTGGAATGGTTAAAACAATTTCAGTTTCCTCTAGTGACATGAGAATGATATATTTATTGAACCTGTAACAACACTAATATTTTTTAATCTTTTCAAAATTGATCAAATGAAATAATGTCTCCATTATGGAGTCTTCCCTTTTATATGGAATTTTAAGTCGTGTGTGTGTGTGTGTGTGTGTGTGTGTGTGTATTTATTTATTTATTTTTGAGACCGAGTCTCCCTCTGTCACCCAGGCCAGAGTGCAATAGTGTCATCTTGTCTCCCTGCAACCTCCGCCTCCCAGGTTCAAGCCTCAGCCTCCCTAGGAGCCAGGATTACATGAGCCCACCACCATGCCTGGCTAATATTTGTTTTTTCAGTAGAGACAGGGCTTCACCATGTTGGCCAGGCTGGTCTCGAACTCCTGACCACAGGCGATCTGACCGCCTCAGACTCCCAAAGTTCTGGGATTACAGGAGTAAGCCACCGCACCCAGCCTATAGTATTTTTTTTTTTTTTTTTTTTTTTGAGACGGAGTCTCGCTCTGTCGCCCAGGCTGGAGTGCAGTGGCGGGATCTCGGCTCACTGCAAGCTCCGCCTCCCGGGTTCACGCCATTCTCCTGCCTCAGCCTCCCAAGTAGCTGGGACTACAGGCGCCCGCCACTACGCCCGGCTAATTTTTTGTATTTTTTTTTTAGTAGAGACGGGGTTTCACCGTTTTAGCCGGGATGGTCTCGATCTCCTGACCTCGTGATCCGCCCGCCTCGGCCTCCCAAAGTGCTGGGATTACAGGCGTGAGCCACCGCGCCCGGCCCAGCCTATAGTATTGTTAACATTGAAATGTTTAGCCTTTTTCTATCTTCTCTATAGACTACTTATATTAGATTGTTTTTACTGTGTTTTACGTCTATTGTCCTATTTACCATTTTTATTTTTTATTAAATTGAAGGGGAGAGTGATATTTTTGCTTTTCTAGCGACTAAAAGTTCTTTATAATTTTAACTGTTTTTTTGACTAGTAATATATCATTGTTTAATTAAAACTATATAGGATAAAATTTACTTTCAGTTTTCTTAAACTCTTATATAATTTTATAAAAAATAATCATAATGACAAATGCATTCATACATTCATCCATAACCACTGGAAAGAAATACAATAAATGGCTCCCAGTGACCTTCTCTAGATGCTGGGTGTACTAGTAAAGACCCTTTTAGTTGTAAGTGATAACAAACACTCTCCAATTTGCTTAAGCCAAAAACAAACAAACAAAAAGGTAAATGGATGAGGGAGAGTGAGCTTCATTACTTACATAACTCAAAATTTCATTTATGTCATCTGTGCACAGTTCTCTTCTGTCCTCTCTTGATTTTATTCTCAAACTCTTTATGTTGGGCCCACACAAGAGCATGTCCGAGTTGTTGAAGGACATCATCGAAAGAAAACACCTGTTTCCCAGTATTTCCAGGAAAAGTCCTGAACTTGACCTTCTTTGTTCCATTTGGGTCATCTGCTTATTATTAAATAAATCAGTGTGGCTGTGGGAAAGGAATAAACCTGATGTACTTAAGCTGGGTGAAATGTGTGTTCCCTTACCATATGAAATGAGAAGTGGAAAGTAATGATTTCCTATGGGAAAATCACTGAGCTGTTCCTATACTGAAAGTCAAGAGGAGTGGCTGCTGCACAGAAAATCAACCAAAAAAAGCAGTGTATGGCCTACAATGAGATTACAGACATATTTTAATTAATTATGCTTTGTGTACTATACAAACTATTTAGCCTGGCATGATGGCTCATGCCTGTAATTTCAGCAGTTCGGGAGTCTGAGGCTGAGCACGGGAATTAGAGGCTGCAGTGACCCATTGTTGGACCACTGCATTCTAGCCTGGGCGAGAGAACAAGGCTCTGTCTCAAAAACAAATAATCAAACCAGTTATTTAAATTGTACACAAATAAATGTAAAAGCCTACAAATTTATAAGTGAAAAAATATTAGTAAACATATAGCATATGTTACATATATTGCAAAGAGAAGAAAATACTCCATAAAAACAGATATATGTGTGTGCCCTAGATATAGTATTTCCTAAGTTCTCTCACTATTTGATAAAATCTACATTACTGGATTAAATATAAATCATTGAATTATGTATATGATTTTAGAGTGTATTGGTAGAGGTAGTTTTACAAATTAGGCTAGGTAGAAAATTGGCCATTAATCAAAGCATCTTAGCTTTTTTTTCTTTTTTTTTAATACAAAGGAAGAGAATCGCCATGGGATATGTATATTTTCCTGTTTGGCTTGGCTATGTGTAAAGCCTTTCTTTCAGGCTATTGCCTGATGTCATAGGGGAAGGGAATTCATTTCTAAATTGCACTAATTTTTCAAACTGTATAGTCAAAAAATACCTAAAGAAAATAACTTTGATGATAAGGATTTCAGAGAAAGTTCAAAAACAAAATAAATGCAATCATTATTTACTATTATGTGCTATTATTCTGCTAAAATCTCCACCCTAAAAAATCAAAAAGTCAAATAGTGAAGATTTAAATTGAAGTAATCTCAAGGCTGTAAACATACACATATATTTCATGAACACCTTTTTTAATCTATCATTAGAACTTATGAACAAATAAGCAATTCCAAGATTATTCTTTCAATTTATAAAACTTTCATTAGTTCAATAATATATTATTCTAGAAACAATTTAATTACTCATGTACATTATTGCAAAAAATTTTCCTAGAAATTCTTTTTTTCATTAAAATGACCTCAAATTCAGATAATAATGTAATAGTTAATTAAGGATGCACTGTCAATACTGTGTATATAACCATGTGTAAGTCATCTCTACAATAGTTTTGATTCCTTTATATGTGACCTGATTTCATCTTTATCAGCCTTATTTTTCCAATCAAATGTATTGGTTTCTGGGTAGAAACCATTTAATATAGGTATATGCCATTAAAATAATCCCTAAAGAATATGAGGAGTAGGACAGAGTTTTCTTTGTGTGTTTGAGACCACTTAGGTATTTGATGGTAAGAAAAGGTGCTCACTTTACCATCTGGAGCAGAGGCTTGTTTCTGTAAATAAGTGTTATTGGAACATAACCATGCCCATTTGCTTATGCATTGTCTGTGCTGAGTTGAATACTTGCAACACAGACTATGTGGTCAGCAAAGCCTATACTATTTCGTCTCTGTCCCTTTACAGAGTTAAAAATGTACCCATGCCTGAGTTAGAATGTCCCCTTACTTCTATTCTATGAATGGAATGGATATCATTGATATTTTCTAAATCAAACCCTGAGTATTCTAAGGTCATTAAATAGTAAATTACATTAGTTAATTTTACCTTATATAGTTTTCATTAAGCAACAAAAAAATTAAGTAGCAAGAAAAACATAGATGCCAAACAGAATCTGGTAGCTTTAGTGAATGCAAGATTGCTTAGTATCAGTAGTATTTATCCAGTAATCAGAATATATATTTCTGGTACTCTTGCCTTCCCCTATATTAGGCACTTGAAATTTAATGGATACATTATTTCTGAAACATTTCTTCATCTAAAAAATGGAAATAATGCCAGTGATCCCTTTCTCAACAGGTATTGTCACAATCAAATAAATGGCAACGTCCAAAGCTACATACAAATATGGAGTAGCTCCTGCTTCTAATTATATGTGAATACAGTGTAGACATTTTATATGTTGTGGACAAAAACTTTCACATTGGAAGATGAGTTAAACCTATTTGAGAAGGATCAGTGGCCTGTTCCAAATACAGAGTACAATATAAGACCATTCAGGACCTTTAGGCTTATTAACTCTCATTGAGCCAAACAATATTTTCTATATTTCTATATGTTGAAAGACTATAGTCATGTCATGTTTGTATACCCTATAGTCTTTGAATACACCCCATGTAGAGACTGCTTTGCAAAATATTGGCATACATCAGCCAAGTGAGTTACTAATAATCAGAGCAGGTAGCTCCTAAAATAATATAAATAATCTAACCCCAATGGTACTTCTATTAAAATATTCTATCAATATTGAATCTAAGATGTTAATCTTAGCTTTGCTATTCTCTATTGTCTCATGCCCAGAATAAATGCTTTGTCTAAGCCCAGATTCTGCTCGCCTGTCCTCTGTCCTCATGTCTGATTAGATATCCCCTATCTTGGATTGGCCCTATATATGCATAATATTCACCAACTGCTCATTCTGTACTTATTGTTCTCCATGGTAATAACTTTAGATGTATACATAGAAATCGACATGTATATATATATACACAGCTATAGATACAGATATCTTCACTCCATCAGCTGGTCCCAGCTTCAGGTTTGGCTTGTCCTGCTTTTCCTTCATTTTCTGTTTTTAATAACCTGACATCAAATGTGAACTTCCTTATGATACTGAATCAAAACTTTTATGGCCTAAGAACTTTGATGTACCTTTAATAAGTCATTTCATTCAATTTTTACTTACTCCACATGTGAACTTTAAGATCTGCTTTCCTAGAAGTCTGTTTTTAAAGGTTTGACTTTGGTCCCATTTCCCCATACATAAATAGGTCCATTTGTGTAATAATAGACAGCCTAAAATTCATCAAGTTAGAAAAACGTGTGATGTGGTCTAATTTCATATTTCTATTCTCCTGTAGTAACCCTTGTTTACAGGGCCCCTTACTATATTAAATTGGTACAACTTATGAAAACAGTTTGTAACTTTAGAAATCAAAAAGGAGGGGAAAATAGAAATCAATGCTCTAGAAAAATCAATGATGCCATGATAAGAACCTCTAAATAAAACCAAGCTGCCCACTAAATAAAGTATTAGATTATAACTGAATAACCATTTCCTGAAAATTTTTCTGTATACATATTAAAGCCAAAAAAACCATGTTTTTTTTTTATAAATAGGAAGAAAATATTTTAGTAAGGTAATTGGGATTCTGACTGTAATTCTAGTGAAAGATAATTGTCAATAGCTTATGTGAAGTAAAACCTTATTTGGATGGTGACAACCATTGTTAAAATTCAAGCAAAATGGAAAACATAAAAAGTATCAGGAGCTAGTTAGGTATGTTAGGTTTGCCTTCTTCTAAGAGCTATGTGTGTGTTGACTGTAAAATACCTCTTAAAAGAATACACTTTTATAGCTCATAAAATGGAGAATATTTTTTATTTTAGAATCCTAAATATGGTAAAAGCTGGACTTAGTAGCAAAAGAAGCACATAAATATGAAGTTAATTAATTCAGCAATGAGTACTATAGATCTATAATCTGAGGGATTTAAACATTTTATTTCCTTTCTTCAGATGATTAAATAATGGAGTATCATTACTTCCTCCCAAATAATATAACTTAAAGTATTTCTCAGAAGATTCTATTCATATGTTTTCTTTCTGCTAAAGTTATTTCTGTAATGCTTTGATAAATATCTTTCTATTTTCTGTTAATGAAGTATAATAGAATTGATATATACACTAGGAATATGCCTTGGAATTAAAGTATCTAACACTGAAACTGTGAAAACACTCATAACTTTCTGATTCATGTAATTGGTGACAAATGATACTGTACATAGCTCATTATTTTTGAGACCTGCAGAAGGACTCCACAAAGGTGCATAATGCCTTATAAAAAATATGTTCCAATCTCATTTATCTAGCCCATAAATAATTAAAATTACTATTCCCCAAAACGGATTACTTTGATACAGATGCTTATTATTTATACAACTGCTCACATTACCTAAATATTACATTCAATCAAAATGTGTTAGACATCTTAAATATTTTTATAAGCAAATGTTGTGTACCATGTACTGGCGTACACTTTTCAGAAGAAACCTTTAAATATTTCTGGCCTCTTGGGAAGCTTCTCTTACTATAGAATCACAAATAATATAGATTTCTCAGAACAATGTTAATAAATTCTCCATACCTCCCCACCCAGGATTGTCTAAACCATACCTTCATGTTCTCCTACTTAATTCTGGGCCAAATTCCTTACCTACAGGTATATAGAGATATAAAGGGAGCACAAGGGAAGAGTTGAATAGAGTACATGTAGGAGGTATGAAAAATTGTGCTAGACTGTTCAGGACACTATAGCATAACACCATCCCCTGGTGTTAGTTTATGAACCACTGAACTCTATTTCTCACAGTTCTGGAGGCTGGGCAGCCCAAGACCAAGGGGTCAGTAGATTCAGATGTCTGGTGAGGGCCAGCTTTATGGTTAATAGATGGGGCCCTCCCTGTGTCTTCACATGGTTGAAGGAGCAAGGGAGTTCTTCAGGGTCTCTTTTGTAAGAGCACTAATTCCACTCATGAAGGCCCCGCCCTCATGACCTAATTATCTCCCAAAGGCCTTGCCTTCTAATACCATCACATTGGTGATTGGCTTTCAACATATAAATTTTGGAGGACACAAATATTCAGACTACTACAGAAATGAATTGTGTAATTTCAACGATTCAAAATATGAATTAAATGCTCTATGTTTGCCTTTAAAATAAGCATTGCACAATCTAAAGATTAACACTAAAATTCATGCTAATACTTTAAACATTTAATATTTATTTACCTAGAATGCCATTAAGCAACAATAACAACAACAACAAAAACGTCTGGACAGATGAAGAGAGAACCCATGAAAGAAAGGGAAAAGCTTTATGTTTTAGTACCTTTAATGTCACTTACAAACAGCTATTCGGATACGTTTCATTTCCTACTTTTTGAAGAATCAGTCTGCGTTTTCATTTCATACTGTGTCCCGCAAATTATGTAGTCGGTCCTGCTGTTGGGATTAACACCTATAGGAGAAAAAGAGAGCAGGATTGGACCAAGGGAGAAGTCTGATACAGTCACACAAAGGGCTGGACCAACTCCACAGGAAACTCTGAAGCTACTATAGATTGCCCTTGCAGGTGTTCCCAGTTGGAGTGAGAGTATTGGGCCTTTAAATCTTGTGTCTGCCAGTTATTGAAGTCAGGTTATACTGGGAAGGTAGCTCTCCTAGGCCAAGGCAATTGCCAGGGAGGAAGCCAGTGGGCGAGCCACGAACTGACGTCCTCCCCAGTAGCTGGGTAACCAGTGGCTCAGTCTTGAAGAAGAAAGCTGGACAGAGCTTTATAACATCCAGAACGATAAACAGGGAGTCTGGACAGTGTGTCAGACATTGCAATGCTGTACCTCCCTAACTAGTTTCAAGTGGCTATTATTAATATTTTAATTTTGTGCTACTTTCAGAAGAGCCGTCTGACAAAGAAGGTTCCTTGCTAGATAGCTTTCATGTTGCAAGAGAATAGCCAAAAAAAAAAAAAAGATAAATCCAGAGGCACCTGACATTTGACAGCTTGATATTCCTAAGAACAAGCCTCCTAAATCAAAGCTTATAAATAGCAGAATCTGAAAGTGTCTCAGATATGGCATCCTTGAAGTAGATCCAAGGGAAAGAAGCTGAAAAATGAACCTTGACTAGGGAAAAAAAATACTTTGTGTTTATCTGTTTTGTTTTGCCATGAGAGCTTTTATCCCAAGTTGAGGTAGAGATACATAATCAAAGCTTTTACATCATCATGTATGCCCAGCTTCATTAGGTCTACAGCTTTGACATTGCTGGGCTATCACTCCAATGAAATACATAAGAATTATAGCTATGTCTTCATCTGAAAAGCCAAAGAAAAGAAAAAATAATAAACCATGAAGCAGCAGTTCACTGGACACTCATTCTCAATATTGACTCTCTCTTCTAGGGAATGGGTACCTTCCAGAGACAATGTGCTCAATTTTAAATTAAGATGGTTAAATATTTAATTAATTTTTAATGAGGTAGAGAAGATTTCTAAGATACATGCAACTTACAAACAGCTGTTCGAATATGTTTCATTTCTTTTAGTTTGATATTAAATCTGACTTATCTTTTCACTGTTTTCCATCAGAAGAGGGCTGTGGAGGTATGACTCAGGCAAACAATGCCAGCATGCTAATTAACGGCTAGAAGCCTCAGCACACTGGTGGCAGAAGTGGGGAGGAGGAACCCGCTGATTCTGATGAGCATTTGGCAGCACACTCCCCTCCTATGGAATCTTGGCAAAGCCACAGCAATAGAATCCTATGCATATGTGTCCACCCAGGCCTCTTCCTGTCCCATCTTTAGGGCTGGCTTCATGAGCCTGCAACCTGTGCAGTCACAGAGGGCCCTACACTCAGAAGAGCCCCTGATTTGGTTTAATATTCTGCTGTCTTCAAATTCCTAATAATTTTTGAAGAGACCTGCATTTTAATTTTGCATGTGACCTACAGATTGTGTGGCTCATTCTGTCCATCTTTGAAAATTTCTGATAGAGTCAAAGGGTTGAGATACCAATCTCAGAAGTGTTTGTCCTCCGCAAGCAAAATAGCAGCCGCCTTCAAAAGACAGAATATTCTCAACATAAAAAGAAAAAAGTGGAAAGTGGACCTGCTCTGCCAGAGGAGAGATAGAATGCCACCCACTGGGTCTTTGCTTCTATTAGCCTCTAAGTTAGGTCTGCAGAGTCTCCAGAATCTGTGATACACGGTTTGGAAACCATTCCTTTAGAATTTATCCTAATGAATACAGAAAAATAAATATTGAGAAAGTAGTCATTCCACTAATCTAGCAACTGGAATTTGCACACATTTTATTAAACAAGTTATTTGTTCTTTGGTTGTATTTTGTATTTTCCAGAAAGTGTTTATTTGGTCACTTCCCCCAAAATATGGCAAAGAAAAGATACTAAAAGTGCTTAGATGACATGACAGTGACCAGTTAGTGATTGCTTCCTCTTTGATATGTGTAATGATAAACTGTCTTTCTAATTACCGTATATCATTTAATCTTTAAAATGGTGAATCTCAGAGAAGTTTCCAGTGTGGTGGAACTAAGATATTACATAGCTAAAAGGTGGCAGAGATGCTATTTTAAACCAAGACAGTTGACTCTAATGTCCTTGAACTAAACATCAATAAAACACTAAACTCTGTTTAAACATGCTTAAAATCTTGATTTGTTGTTGCGTATCTATAGCAATACTAAGTATGATTAAATAGAAATCATTATACTGAGTAAGTAGAAACAGAGTAGTTTAAAATAAGTAGAAATATGAGAGAAGTCATTGGAAAAGAAAAGCGAGTGTCATAAACGTAATGCTAAGATCTAACTCATATACTTGAGCTTTTTGAAAGCAATTCTTATTCATTTCTAAGAGAGAAAAAAGGGGTAAGTAAAAAACTTGGTCTGGGTCCAATGTTTGTTGGTTTGCATGAGCTGAGTAAAAGAGAAAAAGAGATTAGAAGGAAATAAAAGGATATTGAAATGTCAGTGATGAAAAAATATGAGGCAGTTCCGCAACTGGACTCTTTCTATAATGCAGAAGAGTAAATTTGCATGTGAAAACTGACTTTTCAGAGTTATATAAATATTTTCTTCTGAAAAACTCCATCAGCAAAAATAACTCTTCCTACTGAAATCATTATGCTTCTGGGAATCGGACAAGTCACATCACTTAGAATTCATTTCCCTGGGTTCTTTCACAGGAAAGTAATCAATTCAGTTCAAGAAAACAAACCATTTTATGTTTGGCACCATCTGCATGATCAAATGAGTCACTGAAGAATTAGTAGTCCTGCCTCTTCTTTAAAAAAGAAGAATGCAGTAGGATTAAATAAGCAAATTATATAAACAGATATTTTCGAAAGGAGGAAAAACAAATAGTGAACTATCATTCATTTTACTAATGCAAATGAAAATAAAGATAAATTACAAAATTTTGCCTAACAAATTGGCAAAGTTTGTTTGCCTTTTATTTGTTTTTGAAAATACCCAATGATTGTAGGGCACAGACAAAAACCTATTTGCATATAGAATTGGTAGAAGAAAAATTTAGTTCAATTACTTATAAAAGCAATTTTCAATTACTAATAAAATGCCTTGAAACACTGATTCTCTTTGAATAACTAATTCTATTTCTGGAAATATATTATTATAAAATAATGAGAAATAAAGCATTAAAGAAAAATTTTGTGAAGATATTTATGTTACACTTATTAGAGAAAAATTGGAGGAAAATCAAATTCTATCATTAGAAAATGGCTTAAGGAAATATGATACATAAATAAAAGAAATAAAGTCATTAAAAATATTGTCACAAAGAGTTTTAAACTAAAATTTAAAAATTTCTTAAAACATAAGTGGTAAAAAATTACAATATCAATTATATATATACTTTGATCTAAATTATATATAAAAATATGTATAGGCTTGTATGTGTAATTAAACTTTAGGAAAGTTCATATATAAATTGAAGTGTATATATGTATACATCTGTATATATATAAATTACTGCATAACAGTAAAAGTGATCACATACAACCACAGGCAACAATATTATCAAACATTAAGACATAAAACTGAGAGAAAAAAGTCAGAAAACCTATTAATAGTATTGTCATTTTAAACCTTAAAATTGTGTGCAATGTGCATATGATATATATATTTATATATACACACACACGAATATATGTATGTATGTGTACTTTCTATATGTGAATATGTGTGTATGCATATATTATATATATATATATATAAAACTAAATTCATGCAGAAATACAGAGATACATAAGAGTAGACAAGAATAAGACAGCATAAGAGGGCTGGCTATAATACAAAATACTTTTGAGTTGTTTATAGTTTACAAAATTTTAAAACTTTTTAATCAAAGGTAATTTAGACATCATCTAGATCAAATCTTTTCTTATGTGAATCAGAAAGTGAAAGAGCACAAGTAACTTCCTAAGATCACAAAGAGTTATGGATGAAATATCCTTATTATAGAAACACAAAACATCTAGAATGACACCGACTTTGATCAATTAACTTGTTTTAAATATTATCAACCCAAATTATAGTTTTATGATGTGAGAATGCTTCTTGCCTTTATTTTTGTATCTTCTTAGCCCTTTCATCCCAGGAAAATATACTTATCAGTTACACATTGTACAATTTAGCAATTGTGTACTCGATATCAGAAGTAGATTTAATTTCATGTAATCCACAGATATGGAGCATGTGCTATGGACAAGATGCCAGGCTGAAACTCTTAAGCGTAGAAAGAAAAGTACAATTGATCTCTTAGTCCCAAAGATACTGCAATGTGAAATGGTCTCTGTCCCTATTCCTTCTGCAGATATGAAAAGGGTAAGCAAGTAATATTTATGTTGAGTCAGTTTGCATGTTATCACATAATCATCATAATAATGTAAAGTGTACTTCTTATTTCATTTTTCTAGAATTAGATACAGCGATTCATGTACATACACAAGTAACTTCCCAACAACACGCAGATATCAGGTGGCAAGAATAGGATGTGAACTCAGGTCTATTCCTTGTTGATGTCTGAAGTCTTCCAGTTGACTCTGTGAACTCCTAGCTCATTCTACTTCCGAAGAAAGCAGCTTGAGACATCCTTTGACAGAAACACATTATCTTACTTTCTAACTATATGCAAGTGATTAAAGTTTAGGACTCTGAAGAGGAAAACCATATAAAACATGTCTTCTCCAGTTGTCTAAATTAAATTAGTGCCTCAAGTAAATGGGGACAAGAGAAATAGGAAATGCTCACTGATCGTAATTTTTGCTCTCTATTCCCTCAGTTAATAAACTCTGTTTTTCTTTCTTGTTTCCTAGAAAAAAAGTGAGTAATATTCTTCCAGACACTAATAGATTTTGTTAGGATCCCAACTAACTTTTTACAAATTTTCTTAGTGCTAGATACCATTTCAAATTTTAAAAATACAATTCTTCAAACTTTGTTCATAGTCCCTCTGCCCATCTAATGAACTCATTATTGGTATCTAAAGCAACTCTGTATTTTTATCAGTCTAATAACTGCCAAAGCCACCAATTTAAAAGTGAAGAAGATTAAACAAATTAGGTGGCATTACAATTTAAAAGTGAAGAAGATTAAACAAATTAGGTGGCTTATAAGAATCATCCGGCCTACAAGTAAAAGACTATTATTAAATTCAACTATTTTTAAATAAATGAATAATAAAAATTCAACTATTTTAAAATAAATACACGAGTTGAGTCATCTTAGATTATACACAAGAACTAAGCTGTATTGTAGCCATTTTATAAACAATAATTATCAAAAAATTCTAAAACTTTTCTACACTGGGACTTTTCTACACTGGGGTAAGAATAAACAATCAATTATTTAAAAAAATCACATAAGGGTTTGATTAGCAGATAAACATCCTTTTGGATTGCAATACAGAAACCAAAAATTGATAGTTATGCACTTTTCTCTTCTTTTCTTTTTTTTTTTTTTTTTTTTTTTTGTCTTTTTTGAGAGAGTTTTGCTCTGTCACTCAGACTGGAGTGTAATGGCATGATCTCAGCTCACTGCAACCTCCATCTCCCAGGTTCAAATGATTCTCCTGCCTCAGTCTCCCGAGTAGCTGGGACTACAGGTGCCCGCTGTCATGCCCAGCTAATTTTCATATTTTTAGTAGAGATGGGGTTTCACCAGGTTGGCCAGGCTGGTCTCGAACTCCTGACCTCAGATGATCCACCGCCTCAGCCTCCCGAAGTGCTGGGATTACAGGCGTGAGCCACCACACCCGGCCAGTTATGCACTTTTCTAACTGCCGTGCATGCCTGGAAAACAGGTGTTAGGAGTTTGTAATTCTAGTAATCCAGAAAGGACACAAATTTAAGAGAATAATTGCTCTTTTTAAATATTTATTTAGAAGCTCTTACTCTTTCTCTTCATGATTTCTTATTCTAGAACGCAGGTTGTAAGACAATTGGTCACTCTATTTCAGCTTCTCTTTACAAAGAAGTCAGCGCCTTCCAATCTTATCAACACTTAAGATCTAAGTGGAGTATAACTCTGACAGATGTTAAATATTTCATTTGTAGAATATAAATTCTTACCCAAAAAGCTATAGCTAATGTCACACTTCTTAATGTAGTAAATAACATTCTCTGACTTGAATTTTCACCAATATGATAGTCTTCATCAAATACAAAAGCAAATTAAATTAGTTTGAATACAAAGCTGTGTGCTTGGAGGATGAGAGTGGGCCAACTCTTTATCTGATAAATCAAAAAATATAATATTTTGTTACTGCTATTATAATCTGGTTCTGTATGTGCTGTTTTGTAAGTTTTTTGAAGACCTCAAAATCTTGAGCTATGACTAACTCCACATTGAAGAAAAACAGGTGTACATCACAGGAAATCATGGCAGGGTCCCAGTATTGATGAACACATCATTATTTTGCTGTCATTTCCCTGTAATTAGCACATTGTGACAATTTGTTCTAATATGCAAAAAAAAAAAAATGCCAGCAATGATGCTAGTAATTTTTCCTCCTTTCTACTTATTTTTATTTTTTATTTTGGGGAATTTCATTTTTCCATATGTAAATTCTAAGTCTGAAATCACACTTTATATCAGGGTAGATATTTGGCAATAGTTCATATCAGAAAATGTTCATCTTCTTTCTTTAGGTATAATCTAATGTTATAGTCTGAATGTCTGTCTGCCCCCCACCAAAAATTTCATATATTGAAATTCTAATCTTCAAGGTGATAAATAGTATTAGGAGGTAGGCCTTTGGGAGGTAATCAGATCATGAAAATGGAACCTTCATGAATGGAATTAGTGCCCTTATAAAAAAGACCCCAGAAAATTTATTTACTCCTTCTACCATGTGAGGACACAGCTCATAAACCAGAGAGTGTGACCTTACCAGACATTGAATTTGCTGGCAGCTTGATCTTGGACTTCCTAGCCTCCAAAACTGTGAGAAATAAAGTTCTGTTGTTTATAAGTCACCTGGTTTATGGTATTTTGTGATAGCAGCCTGAATGAACTATGACATTGTAACAAAGAACAAAAAGATAAGGCATTGCTGGAAATACAGCTTTTTAACTCTTACCAGCTGTTCCTTTAGATCAAAATAATAAGAACTAATAATAATAACAATGTATTTCTAAAACATTGCATATGAACACTCATCTTCAGTCTCCTTCTAGAAACCTGCCCTGTCTGTAGACTTTGGAGGACCATATTTATCTACTACAACAGACAGGTACCACTGATCTGTGGCCTGTTAGGCACTGGGCCGCACAGCAGGAGGTGAGTGGTGGGTGAGCAAGTGAAACTTCATCTGTATTTACAGCCGCTCCCCATTGCTTGCATTACCTCCTGCACTCCACCTCCTGTCAGATCACCAGTGGCATTAAATTCTCACAGGAGTGTGAAATCTATTGTGAACTGTGCATTTGAGGGATCTAGGTTGCTCATTCCTTATAAGAATCTAATGCCTGATGATCTGAGCTGGAGCTGAGGCAGTGATACTAGTGCTGTGGAATGGCTGCAAATACAGATTAACATTAGCAGAGAGGTTTGACTGCACAGAGACCATAATCAATTGCTTGAAGATTCATATCAAAACCCTATCAGTAAGTGGCAAGTGGCAATTAAGCTGCATCTGGTGGCAGGCTTTATAGTGGCAAGTGAGTTGATGTACTCCAATTGTACAGCTGCATCTGGTGGCAGGCTTTAAGTCAGAATCTGACACTTATTTTGGTTTGTGCATGGGCCGCCCATCATTATATTATTTACCATTTCTATCCACACCTCTTTCCCGCACTGTGCATTTGTCTTAGTCACAGTTTTGGTAGGCCCACAAGCTAACCCTAGCCAAAATGAATAAAACACAAACATCACTGGAGAGCATCTTTCAAAAGGGGGAAAGACCCAGTGATGAGACAGCGGAAGACTCTAAGACACTAAGAATGTCAACCATAAAGAAAGCTGCATTTAAAAGAAAAAACCAGGAGTCCCACTGAAATTCCAGGTTCATTGCAACAGGTGATTCACATTCTTCAAGCACACTTTGTATGATATGTGGTGACCCACTATCCAACGAAGCCATGAAACCATCAAAACTCCTTCACCACATGGAAACCAAGCTCACTTCATTAAAAGACATGTCTTTGGAGTTTTTCAAAAGAGTAAAAAATGTGAACACAAAGAACAGAAGTAATTATTGAAGGCCACCACTTCATCAAATGTGTCTGCACTGACAGCATAATTCTTAGTGGCTAACTGCATTGCTAAAGCTAATAAGCCCTTTGTTATTGGTGAAGAGTTGGTCCTGCCTGCTGCTAAGGACATTCATCATGAACTTTTAGGAGAGGCTGCATTCAAAAGGTGGCACGTGTTTCTCTTTCAGCCAACACCATAAATAGACAAGTTGTTGAAATAGCAGAGGATATTGAGGCACAATTGTTAAAAAGGATTAATGAGTCACTGTGATATTCAATCCATGTTGGTGAATCTACCAATGCTGACAACAAAACAACAATGTTTTTGTGTGATATATTTTTTCAGGAGGATGTGCCTGAGCATATGTTGTGTGCACTTTGCCAACCAACACCACAGATGCAGAACTATTCAAATCTTTGAATGATTACACAATAGAAAAACTAAATTGGTGATTTTGTGTCAGTTTATGCACAGAGTGGCTGCCATGACTGAACTGCTTTCTGATTTCACTACTCAAGTCAAAGTGGCCACTACTGATTGTGAGTCTATGGACTGTGTCATCCATCGAGAAATGCTGGCTAGCTGAAAAATGTTACCTGAACTTAGCAATGTTTTGCATGATGTGATTAAAATTATTGACCACAATAATTAAAGTTAAAGTACATGTCTTTAACTCACTCAAAGCACACATGCCTTCTCTTATACAGAAGTGAGATAGCTTTCTAAAGTAGATCGCTGGCCAGAGTTTTTGAGTTACAAGAGCCACTCCAGAGATTTGTTTTAGAAAAAGAGTCACCACTGGCAGCACATTTCACTGACACAGAATGGGTGGCAAAACTTGCTTACTTGTGTGACATATTCAACCTGCTCAATGAACTCAATCTATCACTTTAGGGGAGAATGACAACTGTGTTCAAGTGAGTAGATAAAGTGGCTGCATTCAAAGCCAAACTAGAATTATGGGGGCGAACATTGGGATTTCTGACATGTTTCAAACATTACCAGAGATTTTGAGAAAGGCTGAGACAGGGTCTTCTTTCTCTCAGCTGGTGCATGATCACGATCACCTATATCAGCTTTCAAAAGAGTTTAAGCATTACTTTCCAACCACAAAAGACCCCTGAACTGAGAAGAGATGAATCTACAACCCATTTGTGAATAAGCCAGGTGAATCAACTTTGTCCAAGCTAGAAAGAGGATCAACTGTTTGAGATCACAAATGACTGTGGCCCTAAAATTATGTTTGAAACAACTTCAAATCGCCATGCATTCTGTTTGAAAGTCAAGGTGAAATATTCTGAGATTGCCACAAAAGCATTGAAAAGCCGGCTTCCATTTTCAACATCCTATCTTTGTGAAGCAGGGTTTTCTGCAGTGACAGCTACCAAAATTAGATTATGGAGTAGACACTTCAGGTGTTGAAAACTTAGGGTGTCACTGTCTCCCATCACCCCCAGATGGGACTGTCTACTTGCAAGAAAAGAAGCTCAGGGACCCCATTGATTCTACATTATGGTGAGTTGTATAATTACTTCATTATATATTACAATATAACAGTAATAGAAATAAAGTGCACAAATAAATGTAAGGTGCTTGAATCATCCTGAAACCAACCTCTCAACCACCGTCCCCACCCCGCACCCATTTACAGAAAAATTGCTTCCCACAAAACCAGTTCCTGGTGCCATAAATGTTGGAGATCGCTGTACTAGAGGATTCTGCACCATTGGCAATGGCTGAGATACATACACGTGACCCCAAATTAGACAATTCATTGGCTTAGTCATGCACATCGCATTCCTTTTTTCAAGATTCAGAATTAAAAGACACAATCTGTATTTAGCCTGGGTTTAGAGTTTAAGATATAGTAAAATTGGAGCTGAAGCTGCCATATGTGGACATACAGAATTCAAGTAATTCCAAGAAGCAGATAAACAAAGGATAAAAATGGGGGAGAGAAATATAGCGATCTAGAAGTGTGATTGACCATAGAAACTCTCAAAGCTTAAGAAATAAGCCCTGATTGATGACTTTCCAGGTCAGAGTTCAGTTGGGCTTCATTTCCTCCTTATGAATGTCTGACTTTACCTCTTGAATCCTTTAATAAATCTATATTGTCTGTTGGTACCTAATTTTATCACCTTTTATTTCTACTTCTTACTCTGGAAATTGCACATAATGTATTGTTTTCATATTCTTGTACATATAACCACATACCACGTACAAACACTTTGCTTATGTATTTAAGTCTGCTAAAAGCCTAGTCCAAACAATTGTTCCTTTGATAAACCAAATCTAAGTTTTAAAGTGTATTTACAAACAAATACATAGAATTTTTTATTTACAGCAATACATTTAGGAGCTATTTTAGAGTTGCTTTACAGGTACAGTTTTTTATGTGCCAATTTTATAATTTGACACAATTTTCCCTGAAGGGTTTAAATGAAGTTTTGTATCTTGGGGAAAGAAGCACACAGAAGTTCTTGCTGAATGCTTTAGGAGATTGCTAAAAATGGAGCTGTGTTTCTAAGGACAACTATCATTATAGTATGTCCCACTTTATTGAGTTTGCTGTTTTTTACTTAAGAGAAGCCATCTAATTCAGTTGTGTATCCTTGGCAAAACATTTCATTTCTTTGTGTCTCCATTTCCTCATCAATAAAATTGGAATAATAATAGTACCAATATTATAGGTTTGTTGTAAGGATCAAATGAGATAATTCATAAAAAAACTTTAAACATATGTATTGCATTTAGAACACTGACTGGGATGTATTAAGCATGCAACATATATTAATCAGAATTTTTACTAGATGAAATAATGCATGGAAAGAAGTGGTTGTTCTCTATTTAATACTTAAAATAATTCATTTAACATACAATTTACTTATTTAATGTGGGAAATTTAACAGCTTTTAATATAGTCACAGATTTGTGCAACAATCACCACAATGAATTGTAGAATATTTTCATCACCTTGAGAAAGTCTGTTTAATATATCCACTATCCATCTCCCAATGCTCCATCACTTTATTCATAAGCAACAATAATCAACATGTTAGCTCTCTGTATTTGCCTATTCTGGACATACCTCATGATGAATAGGCAAAAAATACATAAAGAAAATTAAGTTGTCATCTCAATATAACATTTGCCTTGTTGATGATTCTAGAAATAGTGAACCATAATAGATTTCTTGGAAATCTTAAATTAGAGCATATAGTGGCCCATTTTTCTTCCTCAGAAATTTTTATTTCAATGTGGAGGGAGCAGTACCAGGAACTTGGAAGACTGCCCAGTGTGCTCTACATAGCATTCAATTGACCTTTTGACCTATGTCCCAAATACAGCCGATAATGTGACAATTAGTTCCTTCGTTTGTTTAAGGGCAAGCTTACTCCCCTGTGCACAGTGCCATAAAGAAAAAAGTATAAAGCTCATTTTCTAAGAAAAATGTTCAGGAAACCTAGTAAATGAGATCAACTGCAAAAATTGATTTTGTGAATGGTTTGTTAGAAAACACATAAAATGGTAACATCAGTTCAAATGTGACATTCGAATTGTTTGTATTCCAAGCCTGTGCAGATGGGCAATTCACTTTGTAGGTAATTTTTATGGCTAAGATAACAAACCATCATATTTGCCTTGGACAACCTACCTTATGCTATAACAGTCTTAATCAGTTATATTTCATGAATTTTCAAGTACGGCAATATTATGGACTACACAAAGACTACAAAATCTGGAAACCATGTTCTGATTCTTCCTAACGTAGCTTCCTGGGTATCTTGCACCACTCAAACTGATAGGCAGGATCATGACACCCCCAACACACACAATTTCAAAACTATATTTAGATAATTTCCATATATGAGTGGCATTTTGGTATCAGGATTCTTTGCAACTATTTATTTCTTTAGATATTTTCTTACCTGATAGTAAAGAGCTAAATGTAGCATATAAAGTTAAGCTGTAGGTAAAATATCCTAGATATTCAGAAAAAGAAGATAATAGCATAGGCTACGGAAATCAGGGAATTTTGTAATATATTGTTTGTTGATAAAACCTAAATGTCAATGTTACATAGATTTTTGTTTTAACATTATTTCATAGATTTCCACAGTTAATCTGCACAGCAATATTGCAACCTATTAAGTCAGCAAACTGAGACCACAAATTTTGAACCTTTTCACAAAATTCCAACAAAATCTATGACTAGGAAAATGTTATCCAGCTGCAATGATGATTTCTACAATAAGGTAGAGCAGAATACTTTTCAATACCTTGTGCAATTTGTATGTTAATATAAAGTGTGAATGGTATGTTATGATAGAGAATAGCTAGAAAAATCTATTTTTTTTACAGATCTTTCTACATTACATGGTGCATTGTCTATAAAATCATAGGAAAGCACCCTTACACAGAATTTCTTCAACAATAATAAACATGTACATAGTGTGTCTATCAATTACTTACTCTTGCTACTGTATTACAGGAAAGTATATAAGAGAAATATAAAACTTTATCCCTCTCACAATAAGACATGTACTATGTATGCTTAACTCTGCCATTATAGAGAGAGGTCACAATGTTTTTAATGATATATATTATCAGATATTTAAATATGTATACATATATGTCAGATAAAACTGATTGTATTGTGGAAACTTTCATGATTCTCTTAATGTCACATACCAAATACCACAGCCATTGATTGTATGATACATTAGGCACTGAGCACTTAAATATCCAATGTGATTAAGCTGACTTTTTGCTATTTATCTGTGGATCATAAAATTACCCTGATTTTGAAAGCATTCTAATTAAAATAATAATTTATTCCCTTCTAAACATTACATATCTCTAAGATTTTTTAAATGACCCATCCATTTTTACCAAAAATGTAAAATATGGCAAAAATCTCTATGGTAACAAGAGATGTTTGTATCCTCTCTGAAAACAAAATTGAAGCTATTTTCAGTGATAGTGTCTTACTTTTAGCCGCTTTGAACAAACATGATAGGGTCAGTTCTTGCTACAACTGTCACTTTTTGTTCAAAGTAAAACTGTGCATGCCTTAAACATCTGTGATAGACTCAATCCCAAATTGTTAGCATTACCCAGTTTTACCAATAAACAATCAAGAGAGATAAGTGCTTGTCACACCTCGCTCATGTGAAAGATAGGAAATCCTGATTTTACTTCTTGACAATAAAACAGATGCCTGCTACCTTTGCTATTAACAAAATTTTGACATGGAACTGTAGTGAGTGTTTTGACTAGTATGTTACTAGTATACATATAAGCATATGTTATAAGTAAACCCCCAAAATTTAACCTGAAAAGGTGTATTCATCAGCTCTTACTGATAGAATCACTTTAAATACATATTTTTATGCATGTCTATTGATTCTATTTTAGGATTTCTCAACCTCAACACTATTAACACTTTGGATCAGATAATTGTTGCGAGGCCTGTCCTGTTATTGTAAGATGTTAAGCAGTAAACCTGCCCTCTGCCCACTAGATGCCAGTAGCACCACTCCAGTTGTGACACTTTTTCCACATCCACAGAAAACCTTAGTATTGTTAGTCTTTTCAACTTGAGCCATTCTAATAGATGGAGTGTAGCATTTCCTTGATTATCTTTTTAACATCGACCACACAATCTATTTAATTTAGTATGAATACCACATCTTTTTCATCCTTTTATGTTCTTATATTTTGAGCTTAACTACTAAATTAATGTAAATTGCCATTTAATGGATTAGTTTTACAAATATTCAAACATACTCTTTACAATATCACTTTAACTTGCTAATTTAGTCCATTTATATTATTTGTGATTATTGACATATTTGGACTTCTTTTCACCCTTTTAATTAATTATGAAGCTACATTAACTTTGAGTGGTCTGACTCAATCTTATTTTTCTCATTAGCCTATAATTTTTCAGAAATAATTCTGTAAAACATAAGATTTATCATCATACTATTACAAAAATGCCTGTGTCTCCTTCACAGATTGAAATATTATTTCCCTTCATTAATTTTAGCTGTTCTGTTTTTTTTCTGTCTTTGAATATTTTCTTGCAAAGACATTATAACTGAATTTTAATTGTATACAACTGGTAAGCGAGTTACATACTTACTGGAATTATTCATAAAATTATACCTATTTCCTATTTCATATTTTCTGTTTCCCATCTGCTTTTATTGCTGCTTCTTTTCTTCTTTCCTACTATTTTGGATTAATTATATTTCCATTGTGCTTTTGTATTTTTCTAATCATTTGGAACCTAAAACTACATATATTTGGTTTCTTTCTGAGTGAATACAATTTTTAAAAATACATCCTTAGTTATAAATATTTCTTTGAAAACTCCTAAAGTTATTCATTTTTAACCTTTCTTTCAAGACCATATGAATGGACTTTAGCAAGTTTAAACTATTACATGATTCCCAACTTTCCCAATCTTGTATTATTGTCTAACATGTTGTTTCACTTATTTTTATACATGGCTCATCTTGTTATTTTAAAATAATAATTAGTCAGTGAAATTTACTATCATCTTATATCTATTAATTAGTTTCATTCTCTATGTATCTTCTACTCCATATATTCCTTCTGAGTTTGTTTTTGCCTTTTCTTGAAAATATGTCATTTAATAATTATCTTAGTGATGGTCTGTGTGTGGTAACCCTCTTAGTCTTTGAAACATCTAAGATATTTTATTTTATTGCCCCATTGTATGCTAATTTCATTTGAGTACAATTTTCTATTTTTCACCAGTACTTTGTAAAAATATCTCTGCTGTTTTCCAGCGCATGTTGTTGCTGTTGAAAAGCCTGCTGGTATTCTACTTGCCCTTTTTTTTTTTTTTTTCTTTTGAGACTGAGTCTCACTCAGCCACCCAGGCTGGAGTGCAATGGCACGATCTCAGCTCACTGCAACCACCGTCTCCCGGGTTCAAGCAATTTTCCCGTCTCAGCCTCCTGAGTAACTGGGATTACAGGAACCTGCCATCATGCCCAGCTAATTTTTGTATTTTAGTAGAGACAGAGTTTCACCATGTTGGCCAGGCTGGTCTTGAACTCCTGACCTCAGGTGATCCGCCTGCCTCAACCCCTCAAAGTGCTAGGATTAAAGGCGTGAGCCACCGTGCCCAGCCCTGCTTGCCATTCTTTACTAGGAAATAGTTGTCTTTTCTTCTTGATGTTGGCAGTTTTGCTACAGTGTAACAAGAATGATTTATTTACTCATTTATTTTACTTGCTCAGTTTGCAGATACAGGTCTTTCTTCAATTCTGAAAATTTTTAAAGTACCATTTCTTTAGCTATAGATTCTTTGCCATTTTTCTGTTTTCTTTTTTGGCAATTCTCATGGGTTGTATGTTGAGGTTCTCAATCTAGCCTTAATGCCTCATTACCTCTATGAGCTTGTGTACACACACACACACACACACACACACACACACACACACACAATGTACATATCTTTATGTTTTGGATAACGCCATCCCCAAATTTACTAATTTTCTCATATCAATTGTTAATAGAGTTTATAAGTCTATGGAATTTTAACTTTCCAAATGCCCAAATGTTTGACATTTTGATTCCTTTCATATAGACTTGTGTTTATTTCCTTTCTCAATTTTTGGTTCATGAGTTTATTTAAAAAAGAAAAACAAACACTTTTATTATTTCTGGTCAGGTGCGGTGGTTCATGCCTGTAGTCTCAGAACTTTGGGAGGCCGAGGAACCTGAGCTCAGGAGTTCGAAACTAGCCTGACCAACATGGTGAAACCCCGTCTCTACTAAAAATACAAAAATTAGCTGGGCATGGTGGCAGGTGCCTGTAATCCCAGCTACTCGGGAGGCTGAGGCAAAATTGCTTGAATCCTGGAGGCTGAGGTTGCAGTGAGCAGAGATCACGCCACTGCACTCCGGCCTGGTCAACAGAGTGAGACTCTGTCTCAGAAAAAAATTAGCCAGGCATGGTGGCACACACCTGTAGTCCCAGCTACTTGGGAGGCAGAGGCAGAAAAATCACTTGAAGAACCCAGAAGACGGAGATTGCACTAAGCCAAGATCATTCCACTGCACACCAGCCTGGGCCACAGAGTGAGACTCTGTCTCAAAATAAATAAATAAATAAATAAATAAATAAATAAATATAAATAAATAAATTTTAAAAATTAAAGAAACTTTTATTATTCCTAATATATTTTTGAGAATCCAGCCAATACTTGCATTCATTTATTTTGCAAATAATAACATAGAACTATTTGTGGGTTTTATATATTTAGGGAGTAAAGTTCAGGTTAATTCATGCATATATTGTATATTGGTGAACTCTGGGCATTGAGTGTATTTATCACTGGAATAGTGAACATTATACACAATAGGTACCTTTTCAACCCTCACTCCTGTCCCACGCTCCTACCTTCCAGTCTCCAATGTCCATTATTCCATTCTGTATGTACATGGGTACCCATTGTTTAGCTCTCTCTTATACATGAGAACATGGGGTATTTGACTTTGTTTCTGAGTTATTTCACTGAGGATAATGGCCACCCCAAAAGACATAATTTCATGTTTTTATGGCTGAGTAGTTTTCCATGGTGTGTGTGTGTGTGTGTGTGTGTGTGTGTGTGTATATTATATATATGTGTATATATATATATAATATATATATATATATACACGGTATATATACGTGTGTGTATATACATATGTATACATGGTATATATACATGTATATATATGTGCATATATATACCACACACACACACACACACACACACACACACACACACACACCATGGAATACTACTCAGCGATAAATTAGCACCACATCCTGCTAATTTCTGTATTTTTAGTAGACACAGGGTTTCACCATGTTGGCCAGGCTGGTCTCAAACTCCTGACCTCAGGTGATTCTCCCACCTCAGCCTCACAAAGTGCTGGGATTACTGGCATGAACCACCACGCCCAGCCATAAACCACATTTTCTTTATCCAGTCCTCCACTGATGGATGCTTAGATTTATTCCTTACTTTGCTATTGTGAATAGTGCTGTAATAAACATACTAGCAGAAATATCTTTCTTATACAATCATATCTTTCCCTTTAGGTAGATACCTAGTAGTGGGACTGCTGAATTGAATAGTAGTTCTATTTTAAGTTCCTTGGGAAATGTCCATACCATACTGCTTTCCATAAATGTTGTACTAAATTACATTCCCACCATGTATAAGTGTTCCCTTTTCTCCACATTTTTACCAACAGATGTTGGTTTTAAACTTTTTAATAATAGCTATTCTGACTGGTGTAAGATGGTATCTCCTTGTGGTTTTAATTTGTATTTCTCTGATGATTAGCAATATTGAGCATTTTTTCATATGTTTGTTGGCAGGTTGTACGTCTTCTTTGGTAAAATGTCTGTTTATTTCCTTTTCCCACTTTTTAAATGGGTTTTCTTTCTTGTTGAGCTGTTTGAGTTCCTCGTAGATTCTAGATATTAGCCTTTTGTCAGATGCATATTTTGAAAATGTGTTTCTCATTCTATTGGTCGTCTATTTACTCAGTTGATTGTTTATTTTGCTATGCAGAACTTTTAGTTTTAGTTTAATTAAGTCTCATTCGTCTATTTTTGGTTTTGTTGCAGTTGCTTTTGAGGACATGGTCGTACATTTTTTGCCTAGGCCAATGTCCATGAGAGTTTCTCCTGGGTTTTCTCCTAGGCATTTTATAGTTTCAGATCTTATGTTTAAGTCTTTAATCCAGGAAATAGATAAATTTATGGAAACACACAACCTCTGAATACTGATCCAGGAAGAAATAGAACTTCCAAACAGACCAATAATGAATAGCGAGATGGAATTAGTAACAATAAAATAAAAATAAAAATAAATTCTAACAAAAAAAGTCCAGGATGAAATGGATTCACAGCCAAATTATACCAAACATACAAAGAGATCTAATACCAATCCTCCTGAAACTGTGCCCAAAAATTGATGAGAGAGAGTTCTCCCTAACTTAGTCTACAAAGCCAGTATCATCCTGCTGCCAAAACCAGACAAGGACACAACCAAAGAAAGGAATCTGCGGATGAATATCCCTGATGAACATATACACAAAAGTCTTCAACAAAATACTAGCAAATCAAATCCAACAGAGCATCAAAAAGATAGTACACCATGAAAAGATTGGACTTATCCCGCAGATACAAGGATGTTTCAACATATGCAAATCAATAAAGTGATGCATCATATAAACAGAATTAAGGTTAAAACCCATATAATTATCTCAATAGATTCAGAAAAAGCCTTCAGTAAAATTCAGCATCTCTTCATGATGAAAATCCTCAACAAACTAGGCATAGAAAGACTATAACTTCATCACTTTTTTTCTTTTTTAGACAGAGCCTCCCTCTGTCACCCAGTCTAGAGTACAGTGGCATGATCTTGGCTCACTGCAACCTCCACCCCCTGAGTTCAAGCAATTCTCCTACTTCAGTCTCTTGAACATCTGGGAATATGGGCACGAGCCACCACACCTGGCTAATTTTTATATTTCTAGTAGAGGCAGTGTTTTGCCATGTTGGACAGGCTGGTTTCAAACTCCTGACCTCAAGTAAACCACCTGCCTCAGCCTCCCAATATGCTGGGATTACAGGCGTGAGCCACTGTGCCTGGCCTTTCACTACTCTTAATTCAACATATGACTGGAATTCCTTGCCAGAACAATCAAGCAAGAGAAAAATGTCAGAGGCATCTAAATTGGAAAAGAGAAAGTCAAGTTCACTGATGATATAATCTTATATCTAGAAAATCCTAAGGAGTCTACCAAAAACACTCTTAGATTTGATAAATGAATTTAGTAAATTTTCAGGATATAAAAATAATATACAAAAAACAATAGCATTTCTATACACCAATAGCAACTTAGCCAAAGACCAAATCAAGAAGGCAATCCCATTTATAATAGCTGCTAAATAAAATAAAATGTCTATGAATATGTTTAACCAACGAGGTGAAAGACCTCTATAAGGAGAACTACAAAACACTGATGAAATAAATTATAGATGACACAAACAAATAGAAAAACATCTTATGGTCATGGATTAGATGAAACAATATTGTTAATATGGCTCTACTGCCCAAAGCAATCTGTAGATTCAATGCAATCTCTCTCAAATTGCCAACATCATTTGTCACAGAATTAGATAAAAATCCTAAAATTCATATGGAGTCAAAAAAGAGCCTGAATGGCCAGAGCAATCCTTAACAAAATGAACAAAGCTGGAGGCATCACATTATCTGACTTCAAATTATAGTATGAGGCTATAGTACCAGCATGATACTAGAATAAAAACAGACACATAGATCAGTGGAATAGAGTAGAGAACCCAGAAGTTAAACCACATACCTCCAAACTAATCCTCAACAGAGCCAACAAAAATGTACACTGGAGAAATGACACCCTATTCAATAAATGGTGCAGAGAAAATTGGATAGCCATATGCAGAAGAATGAAACTGAACCCATTCCTCTCATCATATGCAAAAATTACCGCGAGGTGAACATAAATATTATTATTTGCTCAACATATTTTTAATATTAATTTTTTCATAAGATTTGCTCATTTTTAACTTCAGTTATTTGAAAATCTCCAAGACTGTGTCTCCACATACAGCAAATTATTTGAGCCTTCCTTTGAGAGGATGACACTCAAAACGCTATTTAAAGCAGTATATTAGCTCTAGCCCCCTTACCTAAACAAGGCACCAAACATGTAAGACTCCTCTTACCTCAGATACTAAGCTGCTGGCAGCTGGCCCAGAGCTTCATTCTAGTTCATGTTTTTATATTGCTGCTCAATTTTTGTTCTATAAAAAAGTTCATATGTATTTTTTCTAGGTATAAAGTTTTCAGTTTTCTCTCCCTTTTTTTTTTTTTTTTTTTTTTTTGTCTCGTTGCTTTGCATTTGACCATAGAATATTCTGGTTCAATTTTGTTAGCAACCTCTCTTTTCAGATTTATTATCCTCCCTTCTCTGTAATGCATTATACTCCGAGAAACTGATTTAACAGACTTTGTTGCCCAAACTTCTTGGAATTTTTTAAGGCACACACAAGGAGGAAATCAGGGAACAAAAAACCTGAGAAAGCAGGGCTGGAAGTGATAATAACTTTCCCTGCCTGCATTTCTATAAGTAATTCCTTCATTTCAATCTCTGTATTGAACCCATCTGACTTGGATTTTGCTTCTTGCCCAGACTGATGTACAGGGGGTGTGATGATGTTTGCAAGCACTATTCTGTCTTGACGGGAAACCCCTTAGTGTAGCCCTTAACCACTTCCAAAGTGCTTTAGCATGTTATTTTTTGTAAGTTCATAGAGACATATTTATTAAATTCGCTCACACAATACCTTACAGATATTTCACTGAGAGCATTAACATAGATGTCTAAGTGTGTCTGTAAGAACAAGGCCAGCAGTTCTGAGAACCAAGAATAAGTTTGGCTAGATGTGGTTCTGTTTGGCTACATTTGTCTTCTTCTAATATATATATTCCATATCAAATAAAATACAACCCTAAAATAGATGTACCAGAATTGTTCCCAAGCTGCTCTTCTAATTATTACTGCTAGACTCTTGGGTAAAATGTTTAAAAATTTGGGCATGCACTAACTTCACTTTATATGGAGTAAGGGATTAGGAGATTAACTGCTCAACAGACTTCATACAAGAATTTTACTTTTTGAAGGGTTCCAGGAGTTCCACTAACCAAATTGAAAAGTGTGTCAACATTTACCTCATGAGACAAATGTTCTATTTCTTAACATATACTATGCACTCTACAGTTTGACACACTCATCAAATTCCATAAAGACATTGACAGCAAACAAAATTATAATGGCATCTTGTCATTGCACACTCATCAAAAAATCAGAAACTGGGAGTAAGATAAAAAGATTTTTTTTTGGGTGTGTGGGTAGTGATCAGCATGTCTAAAGATACAGCAGTTCCTAAGAGGTAACTTCCTGCTTATGTACATGCTCACAGTCACATGATATACAGGAATGTACACAAATTGTTTCAAATAATTGCTCATCTTTGGTTCATTCTTATATCAAATTTTCTGTATGGTAGTAAGTCTGTTTAGGAATGATATGGTTTGGATTTGTGTCCCTGCCCAAATCTCAGGTTGAATTGTAATCCTCAGTGTTGGAGAAGGGGCCTGGTGGGAGGTGATTGGATCATGGGGGTGAACTTCCACCTTATTGTTATGATAGTGAGTGAGTTCTCATCAGATCTGGTTGTTTATAAGTGTGTAGCATCTCCCCATTCGCTCTCTTCCTCCTTCTTCCACCATGTAAGACATTCCTGCTTCTGCTGATGCCATGATTCAGAATTTCCTGAGGCCTCCCCAGCCACCAGCCATGCTTCCTGTACTTCCTGTGGAACCATGAGCCAATTAAAGCTCTTGTGAAAAATATATACTTGTGTCAGTTCTAGGTATTGCTGTATAGCAGTGTGAGAATGGACTAATACAGAATATTGGTGCTGAGAGGTGAGGCATTGCTATGAAAACACCTGAAAATGTGGAAGTGACTTTGGAACTGGGTAACAGGCAGAGGTTGGAAGAGTGTGGAGGGCTCAGAAGAAGACAGGAAGATGTGGGAAAATCTGAATCTTCCTAAAGACTTGTTAAATGGTTTTGACCAAAATGCTGATAGTGATATGGACAGAAGGGGCCAGGCTGATGAGGTCTCAGGTGGAGATGAAGAACATGTTGGGAGCTTTGAACTTGAGAGTGATGATTTAGTGTATTTGCCAGAAGAAATTTCTAAGCAGCAAAGCATTCAAGAATGCTCATATGCATGAGCAAAGAGATGATCTGAAACTGAAACTTATATTCAAAAGGGAAGCAGAGCATAAAAGTTTGAAAAACTTGCAACCTGACCATGTGGTAGAAAAGAAAAAGGCATTTTCTGGGGAGAAATTTAAGCCAGCTGAGAAATTTGCATAAGTAAAGAGGAGTCAAATGTTGATAGCCAAAATAGTGGAGAAAATGCCTCAAGGCAACCTCTCCCATCACACGCCTGGAGGACTAGGAGGGAAAAATGGTTTCATGGTCCAGGCCCAGGGCCACTGCTGCTCTGTGCAGCCTCAGGACATGGCACCCTGCATCTCCGCAGCTCCAGCTGCAGGAGCATTTGACCATAGGATATGCTGGTCATTTAAAGAGGCCAAGGTACAGTTCACGCTGTTGCTTCAGAGAGTGCAAGCCATAACTTTGGTGACTTCCATGTGGTTTTAAGCTTGCAGGTGTGCAGAGGGCAAAAGTTGAGGCATGGGAGCCTCCGCCTAGTTTTCACAGGATGTATGGAAATTCCTGGATGTCTGCTGCAGGGGTGGAGCCCTCATGGGGAGCCTCTATTAGGGAAGTGTGGAAAGGAAACGTGAAGCTGGAGCTCCACACAGAGTTCCCACTGGGGCACTGCTTAGTTGATCTGTGAGAAGAGGGCTGCCCTCCTCCAGACCCCAGAATGGTAGCTCCACCAACAGCTTGTACCATGCACCTGGAAAAACCACAGACACTCAACACCAGCCCTTGAGAACAGCCATGGGAGCTGAGACCTGCAGAGCCACGAGAGAGGAGCTTCTCAAGACCTAAGGAATCCACCCCTTGCATCAGTGTGGCCTGGATATGAGACATAGAGTCAAAGAAGATTATTTTGAAGCTTAAAATTTAAAGCCTGCCCTGCTGGATTTCAGACTTCATGAGGTCTGTAACCCCTTTGTTTTGGCCAATCTCTACCTTTGGGATTGGGAGTATGTAGCCAATGCCTGTAGCCCCACTGTATCTTGGAAGTAGCTAATTTTTTTTTTAATTTTACAGGCTCGTAGTTGGAAGGGATTTGCCTTGTCTCAAAAGGGACTTTGGACTGTAGACTTTTGAGTTAATGCTGAAATGAGTTAAGACATGGGGTACTGTTGAGAAAGGATGATTGTATTTTGCAGTGTGAGAAGGACATGAGATTTGGGTGGGGTGGGGGATGGGAGGGCAGGGGTGGCCAGGGCAGAATAATATGGCTGGATTTGTGTCCCTGCTCAATCTCATGTTAAATTTTATTCCCCCATGTTAGAGGAGGGGCCTGGTGGGAGATGACTATATCATGGAAGTGAATTTTTGCTGCTCTCATGATAGTGACTTCTCATAAAATCTGGTTATTTTAAAGTATATAGCAACTCCCCTTTTTCTCTCTTCCTCCTCCTCTGGGCGTGTAAGCCATTCCTGTTTCCCCTTTGCCTTCTGCCATGACTGAAAGTTTTCTGAGGCTTCACCAGCCATGCTTCCTGCACAGTCTGTGGAACCATGAGCCAGTTAAACCTCTTTACCTAAAAATTACCAAGTTTCAGGGTTTTTTATAGCAGTGCAAGAACAGACCAATACAGGATTTAATATGAATATTTTTAATTTATAAGATAAACGAGATAGAATAGTTTTTCACAAAAAGGAAATATGTATCTTACTTGAGCATAAAACTGCTTTTTTTTCAGATGCAACACCAGAAGAGAGACAGACAGGGAAGGAGTTATAAAATATATTCTACTACAGATTTTTGTTCAATCAAATTAAATCAATTTATAATGACTCCATATCTATTTCTACATGCTGACCTAGGTCATGGAGATTCAAGGACAAGTACATTTTAGTTCCACCATTAAGGAGTTTATAAATTGATGTATAACCATTCAAACTGTCATAAGTTGAATAATACTACTTGAGAATCCCGTAAGTGGACAGGATTCATTGTAATCAGAAATATCCAAGTAGGTTTCATATAAAAATTGACAATGATGAGAAGCTTAAAGTGTAAAATGATTTCAGTAGTAGAAAATGTCAGACTGAGCATTGGTCAATTGCATTCTAGAAAATAGTGTAACTAAGGACGTGGAGGTATAATAATGCATCATGTGTCCTGGGACTAGCACGTAAAAAGTAATTTATATTTCAGTGTAGCACAGTGATTAAATATAGGCACACTAGATTCAGACAGGCATGAGTGCCATTATTAGTTCTTTCATTTACTACAAATGCAATATAAATCCTGTATCTTAATCACTACATCTGAAAATGAGAAATATAATACTACCTAACTTCCAGGATTTATTTAAATATACAGTGTTATAATGTATGTAATTGGTTAGCATTACAAGACCCAGTATATAAAATAGAACACTCAATAACATAAAATTTCTCCAGAACTTAGGGTGTTTGAGTGAGATTTGAGTAACGAAGTTAAAGAGCAAGTTGCCAAGTTAAAGTGGGGTCAAATGAAGAAATAAAAGTTCTCAGAATGCTCACCTGCACACCACTTTTACCCAAGTTAATTCAGAGCTGGGAAATTATATTTAATGTAATCTCATAAGTGGTCAAAAAATTGTCGGGAAATTCAATATCTCAATAGTTTTAAACAGACCTTAAGCTTCAAGAAAATTCTATTTTGTATCTCTGTTCCACTGAATAACTAGCCAGGGCAATTCTACAATAAATTAATAAATTGCAAAAAAAATGCTTTTTAAAATAAAGCACATTATATTTAGAAAAACTAGAACAACAAATATTCCTTTTTGCTTAAAAAGAGTAACAGATCAACTAATTAACTTGCAGATCTTGATAGATGTAAAGAATACTTAAGCACTATTTCCTGGAATCACAAAATAAATTACTTGAAGTTAAAGAAATTTAAGGAGTGGAGAATACGGAAAGAAGCTTCCTATTTGCTAACAGGATCACACGAGACACACAAGACACATGATGTCATAGAAAGAGCTCTTGGGATTGAAAGAAAAAAAGCACCTTTTCTCATGGGTCATGTGAACTTGAGGGCATTATTTGATCTCTCTGGGCCTCGACTTCTTCTCAGGCAAGATGATGATCTCCTAGCTACTTTCAAGAGTTATAATGTGGCACTCTCTGACCCTTCTTCCAAAGAATCCCTTCTGCCAATAAAATTTTGAAAAATTCAAGAGCTTCATAGTGACATACATTCTCCATATGGCCTGGCTGTTGACAAGGCAAATGCCTTGCTTCGTACACCCCGCCTTTCTCACCCTCTGTAATGAGCACACCTCTATTCTAAGTGATCATGCAGCTGGCTCTCTTTGTTCTGCAAACTGAGCATCATAGTGGCATTTTTTTCTACCTCCTGTTAGTATAAGGATTTCAGTTCTTCTGAAGCACAAGATGGTACTCAGGTCTGTGGTTCCATGACAAATGTTTGGTTCTTCATTATCACTTAAGACAGAGCATACAAAAAATCCCAAATTTTGGTCACTTAAAAACATTTTAGGAGGTCGGAGGAGCCAAGATGGCCGAATAGGAACAGCTGCGGTCTACAGCTCCCAGCGTGAGCGACGCAGAAGACGGGTGATTTCTGCATTTCCATCTGAGGTACCGGGTTCATCTCACTAGGGAGTGCCAGACAGTGGGCGCAGGCCAGTGGGTGCGCGCACCGTGCGCGAGCCGAAGCAGGGCGAGGCATTGCCTCACCTGGGAAGCGCAAGGGGTCAGGTTCCCTTTCCGAGTCAAAGAAAGGGGTGACGGACGCACCTGGAAAATCGGGTCACTCCCACCCGAATATTGCGCTTTTCAGACCGGCTTAAAAAACGGCGCACCACGAGACTATATCCCACACCTGGCTCGCAGGGTCCTACGCTCACAGAGTCTCACTGATTGCTAGCACAGCAGTCTGAGATCAAACTGCAAGGTGGCAGCGAGGCTGGGGGAGGGGCGCCCACCATTGCCCAGGCTTGCTTAGGTAAACAAAGCAGCCTGGAAGCTCGAACTGGGTGGAGCCCACCACAGCTCAAGGAGGCCTGCCTGCCTCTGTAGGCTCCACCTCTGGGGGCAGGGCACAGACAAACAAAAAGACAGCAGTAACCTCTGCAGACTTAAATGTCCCTGTCTGACAGCTTTGAAGAGAGCAGTGGTTCTCCCAGCACGCAGCTGGAGATCTGAGAACGGGCAGACTGCCTCCTCAAGTGGGTCCCTGACCCCTGACCCCCGAGCAGCCTAACTGGGAGGCACCCCCCAGCAGGGGCACACTGACACCTCACACGGCAGGGTATTCCAACAGACCTGCAGCTGAGGGTCCTGTCTGTTAGAAGGAAAAATAACAAACAGAAAGGACATCCACACCGAAAACCCATCTGTACATCACCATCATCAAAGACCAAAAGTAGATAAAACCGCAAAGATGGGGAAAAAACAGAACAGAAAAACTGGAAACTCTAAAACGCAGAGCACCTCTCCTCCTCCAAAGGAACGCAGTTCCTCACCAGCAACGGAACAAAGCTGGATGGAGAATGATTTTGACGAGCTGAGAGAAGAAGGCTTCAGACGATCAAATTACTCTGAGCTACGGGAGGACATTCAAACCAAAGGCAAAGAAGTTGAAAACTGAAAAAAAATTTAGAAGAATGTATAACTAGAATAACCAATACAGAGAAGTGCTTAAAGGAGCTGATGGAGCTGAAAACCAAGGCTCGAGAACTACGTGAAGAATGCAGAAGCCTCAGGAGCCGATGCGATCAACTGGAAGAAAGGGTATCAGTAATGGAAGATGAAATGAATGAAATGAAGCGAGAAGGGAAGTTTAGAGAAAAAAGAATAAAAAGAAATGAGCAAAGCCTCCAAGAAATATGGGACTATGTGAAAAGACCAAATCTACGTCTGATTGGTGTACCTGAAAGTGATGGGGAGAATGGAACCAAGTTGGAAAACACTCTGCAGGATATTATCCAGGAGAACTTCCCCAACCTAGCAAGGCAGGCCAACGTTCAGATTCAGGAAATACAGAGAACGCCACAAAGATACTCCTCGAGAAGAGCAACTCCAAGACACACAATTGTCAGATTCACCAAAGTTGAAATGAAGGAAAAAATGTTAAGGGCAGCCAGAGAGAAAGGTCGGGTTACCCTCAAAGGGAAGCACATCAGACTAACAGCGGATCTCTCGGCAGAAAACCTACAAGCCAGAAGACAGTGGGGGCCAATATTCAACATTCTTAAAGAAAAGAATTTTCAACCCAGAATTTCATATCCAGCCAAACTAAGCTTCATAAGTGAAGGAGAAATAAAATACTTTACAGACTAGCAAATGCTGAGAGATTTTGTCACCACCAGGCCTGCCCTAAAAGAGCTCCTGAAGGAAGCGCTAAACGTGGAAAGGAACAACCGGTACCAGCCGCTGCAAAATCATGCCAAAATGTAAAGACCATCGAGACTAGGAAGAAACTGCATCAACTAATGAGCAAAATAACCAGCTAACATCATAATGACAGGATCAAATTCACACATAACAATATTAACTTTAAATGTAAATGGACTAAATTCTCCAATTAAAAGACACAGACTGGCAAGTTGGATGAAGAGTCAAGACCCATCAGTGTGCTGTATTCAGGAAACCCATCTCACGTGCAGAGACATACATAGGCTCAAAATAAAAGGATGGAGGAAGATCTACCAAGCAAATGGAAAACAAAAAAAGGCAGGGGTTGCAATCCTAGTCTCTGATAAAACAGACTTTAAACCAACAAAGATCAAAAGAGACAAAGAAGGCCATTACATAATGGTAAAGGGATCAATTCAACAAGAGGAGCTAAGTATCCTAAATGTATATGCACCCAATACAGGAGCACCCAGATTCATAAAGCAAGTCCTGAGTGACCTACAAAGAGACTTAGACTCCCACACATTAATAATTGGAGACTTTAACACCCCACTGTCAACATTAGACAGATCAACGAGACAGAAAGTCAACAAGGATACCCAGGAATTGAACTCAGCTCTGCACCAAGTGGACCTAATAGACATCTACAGAACTCTCCACCCCAAATCAACAGAATATACATTTTTTTCAGCACCACACCACACCTATTCCAAAATTGACCACATAGTTGGAAGTAAAGCTCTCCTCAGCAAATGTAAAAGAACAGAAATTATAACAAACTATCTCTCAGACCACAGTGCAATCAAACTAGAACTCAGGATTAAGAATCTCACTCAAAACCGCTCAACTACATGGAAACTGAACAACCTGCTCCTGAATGACTACTGGGTACATAACGAAATGAAGGCAGAAATAAAGATGTTCTTTGAAACCAACGAGAACAAAGACACCACATACCAGAATCTCTGGGACGCATTCAAAGCAGTGTGTAGAGGGAAATTTATAGCACTAAATGCCCACAAGAGAAAGCAGGAAAGATCCAAAATTGACACCCTAACATCACCATTAAAAGAACTAGAAAAGCAAGAGCAAACACATTCAAAAGTTAGCAGAAGGCAAGAAATAACTAAAATCAGAGCAGAACTGAAGGAAATAGAGACACAAAAAACCCTTCAAAAAATTAATGAATCCAGGAGCTGGTTTTTTGAAAGGATCAACAAAATTGATAGACCGCTAGCAAGACTAATAAAGAAAAAAAGAGAGAAGAATCAAATAGAAACAATAAAAAATGATAACGGGGATATCACCACTGATCCCACAGAAATACAAACTACCATCAGAGAATACTACAAACACCTCTACGCAAATAAACTAGAAAATCTAGAAGAAATGGATACATTCCCCGACACATACACTCTCCCAAGACTAAACCAGGAAGAAGTTGAATCTCTGAATAGACCAATAACAGGAGCTGAAATTGTGGCAATAATCAATAGTTTACCAACCAAAAAGAGTCCAGAACCAGATGGATTCACAGCCGAATTCTACCAGAGGTACAAGGAGGAACTGGTACCATTCCTTCTGAAACTATTCCAATCAATAGAAAAAGAGGGAATCCTCCCTAACTCATTTTATGAGGCCAGCATCATTCTGATACCAAAGCCGGGCAGAGACACAACCAAAAAAGAGAATTTTAGACCAATATCCTTGATGAACATTGATGCAAAAATCCTCAATAAAATACTGGCAAACCGAATCCAGCAGCACATCAAAAAGCTTATCCACCATGATCAAGTGGGCTTCATCCCTGGGATGCAAGGCTGGTTCAATATACGCAAATCAATAAATGTAATCCAGCATATAAACAGAGCCAAAGACAAAAACCACATGATTATCTCAATAGATGCAGAAAAAGCCTTTGACAAAATTCAACAACCCTTCATGCTAAAAACTCTCAATAAATTAGGTATTGATGGGACGTATTTCAAAATAATAAGAGCTATCTATGACAAACCCACAGCCAATATCATACTGAATGGGCAAAAACTGGAAGCATTCCCTTTGAAAACTGGCACAAGACAGGGATGCCCTCTCTCACCACTCCTATTCAACATAGTGTTGGAAGTTCTGGCCAGGGCAATCAGGCAGGAGAAGGAAATAAAGGGTATTCAATTAGGAAAAGAGGAAGTCAAATTGTCCCTGTTTGCAGACGACATGATTGTTTATCTAGAAAACCCCATCGTCTCAGCCCAAAATCTCCTTAAGCTGATAAGCAACTTCAGCAAAGTCTCAGGATACAAAATCAATGTGCAAAAATCACAAGCATTCTTATACACCAACAACAGACAAACAGAGAGCCAAATGATGAGTGAACTCCCATTCACAATTGCTTCAAAGAGAATAAAATACCTAGGAATCCAACTTACAAGGGATGTGAAGGACCTCTTCAAGGAGAACTACAAACCACTGCTCAAGGAAATAAAAGAGGATACAAACAAATGGAAGAACATTCCATGCTCATGGGTAGGAAGAATCAATATCATGAAAATGGCCATACTGCCCAAGGTAATTTATAGATTCAATGCCATCCCCATCAAGCTACCAATGACTTTCTTCACAGAATTGGAAAAAACTACTTTAAAGTTCATATGGAACCAAAAAAGAGCCCGCATCGCCAAGTCAATCCTAAGCCAAAAGAACAAAGCTGGAGGCATCACACTACCTGACTTCAAACTATACTACAAGGCTACAGTAACCAAAACAGCATGGTACTGGTACCAAAACAGAGATATAGATCAATGGAACAGAACAGAGCCCTCAGAAATAACGCCGCATACCTACAACTATCTGATCTTTGACAAACCTGAGAAAAACAAGCAATGGGGAAAGGATTCCCTATTTAATAAATGGTGCTGGGAAAACTGGCTAGCCATATGTAGAAAGCTGAAACTGGATCCCTTCCTTACACCTTACACAAAAATCAATTCAAGATGGATTAAAGATTTAAACGTTAGACCTAAAACCATAAAAACCCTAGAAGAAAACCTAGGCATTACCATTCAGGACATAGGCATGGGCAAGGACTTCATGTCCAAAACACCAAAAGCAATGGCAACAAAAGCCAAAATTGACAAATGGGATCTAATTAAACTAAAGAGCTTCTGCACAGCAAAAGAAACTACCATCAGAGTGAACAGGCAACCTACAACATGGGAGAAAATTTTCGCAACCTACTCATCTGACAAAGGGCTAATATCCAGAATCTACAATGAACTCAAACAAATTTACAAGAAAAAAACAAACAACCCCATCAAAAAGTGGGCGAAGGATATGAACAGACACTTCTCAAAAGAAGACATTTATGCAGCCAAAAAACACATGAAAAAATGCTCATCATCACTGGCCATCAGAGAAATGCAAATCAAAACCACTATGAGATATCATCTCACACCAGTTAGAATGGCAATCATTAAAAAGTCAGGAAACAACAGGTGCTGGAGAGGATGTGGAGAAATAGGAACACTTTTACACTGTTGGTGGGACTGTAAACTAGTTCAACCATTGTGGAAGTCAGTGTGGCGATTCCTCAGGGATCTAGAACTAGAAATACCATTTGACCCAGCCATCCCATTACTGGGTATATACCCAAATGACTATAAATCATGCTGCTATAAAGACACATGCACACGTATGTTTATTGCGGCATTATTCACAATAGCAAAGACTTGGAACCAACCCAAATGTCCAACAATGATAGACTGGATTATGAAAATGTGGCACATATACACCATGGAATACTATGCAGCCATAAAAAAATGATGAGTTCATGTCCTTTGTAGGGACATGGATGAAATTGGAAACCATCATTCTCAGTAAACTATCGCAAGAACAAAAAACCAAGCACCGCATATTCTCACTCATAGGTGGGAATTGAACAATGAGATCACATGGACACAGGAAGGGGAATATCACACTCTGGGGACTGTGGTGGGGTGGGGGGAGGGGGGAGGGATAGCACTGGGAGATATACCTAATGCTAGATGACGAGTTAGTGGGTGCAGCGCACCAGCATGGCACATGTATACATATGTAACTAACCTGCACAATGTGCACATGTACCCTAAAACTTAAAGTATAATAAAAATAAATAAATAAATAAATAAATGAAATAATAATAATAATAATAAAACCAACAGAAAAAAAAACATTTTAGAATAATGGACACATTTTAGATATTCAAGCATAACCCCTGGCAGAGCATTATCCTTTGAACAATTTATCTCATTTTAAAAATATCATTTTATTGGCATAATCGGTTTTATGTTGTTGTTGTTGTTGTTTGGTTTGTTTTTATTAAAGAGAATTACAAAAGGCTTAATATGAGCTCAGTAGAGTTTACCACAACCAACCCCTTGTCTCTGTTTGAAATATCACTAACTTAAGTAACTGATATTAGAAGAACTTCACACTTACCTTGGTAAAACTGAATGTGAACTAAAAATAGCACATATAGAATAAAAAATATCTGAGGCAAAAAACTCAATAAAATAGAAATTATTTACTTTTATTGTTATCTCTGCCCTCTTAGAAAATTCCATATATTAATTTTCCAAGCTTAATATTACATCTGTATTTATATGTGTGCTGGAAATATGGCTTGAAGTGAAATTATGTTTAATGCAAATATCTTCATATGAACTTGATTCCTCAACTAATAACTAATTGTCTTTACTGGGCACTATATGTTCCTTGATCTCACAGCAGAATGTAATTTATTATGCTTTTTGCACATTTACATTTTGTGACCCACTTAGGTTAAAACTAATTCCTGTATACATAAGCTTTGTACAGGAAATGAGTAATTTTTATTTCAACTTCATACAGGGAATTAGTCAGATATTGGCAATGAGATGCAGTATGTCATCAGGATTCATATTGCACAAGATTCTAAAAAGGAAACTTCTCTAATAGAACAAAGAAAGCAAATTCCAGCAATGCTATTTAATTGTTATATATTCTTTATTGTAAAGTATTAATCTATCAAAAAATATTTACAGAAATCCAGCTATATCTACAGCTCAAATCAGCTGCAAAATAATAGAGTGTGGGAATGAAGTAGAGAATAAACTTACAATAATAGTCATCCTAAATTTTCACATAACTTATTTGAGCCTGAAATTCCATATAATGTGGGAATATCATATTATATGGTAGTTAACATTATGCTGGGTTTTGAAAGCTCCTTATTAGTTGATCTGGACAGTTTACTAAACTCTGTTTCTTAGTTTCCTCATCTGTAAAATATTGGTAATTACAACACCTACACCCTAGGTTTATAGGAAGATTAAATGGGTCAATCACTGTAAGGTTCTTAGCAAATTGCCAGATATATAATAACCATTCAAAAAATATTTGCTCTTACTTATGCTTTTTGTCTGTCGCAGTTCAGGCTGCTTATGATAAAGTTCCATAGACTGGGTCACTTATAAACAACAGAATTTTTTTTTTCTCACAGTTCTCAAGGCAGGAAGTTTGAGATCACCATGCTAGCATGGTTGGGTTCTGGTGAGGGTCTGATTCCAGGTTGCAGACTTCTCATGGTATTCTCATATGGCAGAAAAGAAGGCAAATGAGCTCTTTTGGATCTCTCTTATATGGCCTTAATCCCATTCATGGAGGCTACACCCTCATTCTCTAATCATCTCCCAAAGTCCCCCCTAATACCACCATATTGGAAGTTTTAATATCAACATATGAATTTCGGGGAGAGAACACAAACATTCAGTTCATAACACTGTCCCAGCATCCAGGGTATGGGAAGATATATTGAACATATTCCATATTGGTGAAGAAAAGGTTGCAAGAAAGGAGAGTGGAAAAAAGAAAAAGAAAAAAAGATCAAGAAAAAAATGAGCAATATTTAACAGTATAAAGACTTTGGCCTTGATCTCAAGTAATTTATACTGTATAGGGGAACAATACTTTATTAAAATCAATTTAAATCAATTTATCAAGATATTATCAAATAACATACAAAGGTACTTACTATAAATATAAACAAATTATGAGAAAGGAGAAAAATAGTGAGCAGAAATTGTCAAAAAGACTTCTTGAGGAAGCTGACGTCAGTCATATGATATCGAGGCATTAATGCCATTTTTATACTGGCTTCTCTCCATCTTCCACTTGTTCTAAAAAAGTCCAAGTGAACTGAAATATATCAGTCTACAACTTTAACTTGGTTAGATTGGCTAAACATTTTTGTTGTTATTAAGCTGAATTATTCCATGAAGTAACTTTCTAGAAAAAGAAAGTCGAATCCTTTGTGGGTCTATATAACATAACTCTGCCCCAGAATTTTCCATTAAAAAACATAATGACATCAAGTTGCAGGCAAGAGAAACCCAGACAAATTCTTGGCTACTGTCAGACATGAACCTGCATTCGATATTATTTTATTTTTCAGCAAACATGTGTAGGCTATTTTCTGCCACTGTAAGCTGAGTGAGACAGCAAATTGGATACTTCATATATTATCTGCCCAGTCTTTCATTTTTCTGGAAACTTCCCCTGTCTGAGCACATATAGTTGGTTGGTTATAGGAGTAATTCTTGGCAGTCTTATTCCTGCAGCATGACTCTGCACTCTGGTTTTAGTTGATGGAGCCAACAATCTAAGGACAGTCATTAATTTCCTTCCTAAGAATTTTCAGCTGGGGCCCAAAGAGATAATTTCTCTCATGAAGTTGGTCACCTAACCTATAATACATTAATATTTTAGCTATATATGTCATGTTTTTCACCATGTGAACTCGAGAAGCCACAAGGCTGGTGCAAAGAAGAACAAATGAAGAACACACAAAATGAAGAACGAATGAGATACAAAGGCAAAGTCCTTTGCACATTTTTGGTTCCCTATTTTGTTCAGAGACACCTCATGTTATTAAAATAAAGGAACTGTTTATTCTCGTTTATGCTACCTTGAATTAGTCTGTCTTGCTTACAGCTAAAAAAAGAATATGGATGATACATAGTTCAATGATACTTGGAATTTTTTTCCTTGTTTGTTCCAGCTTCATTACAGATTGAAAGTATATGAGAGTCAGGATTCCAATAAGATTTTTCTTATGGCAAAATCAAAGAATACAGGGAGCAGAAGCCCTCAGATCAACTGGAAAGGAATGAAGGGATACCTGGTGTGGCAGAAACTAAGCCTACCTATCTAAGAAAAGTATTCTGACTTTAAGATTTTATGTAAACTGCCTTCAACTTGAAGTCATTTTTTTTTTAATAGAAAATTCTGGGACAGTTATGTTACATAGACCACAAAGGATTCAACACTCATTTGAAGTAATTCTGGGGAAAAAAGAATCTACTTCCTTCTCTAGAACAAGTTCTACTTAAACATAAGGAAAAATGATTTTAACTATGCTGATTTCAAGATTATGAGTATGTTGACCAATGCCTAATTTGCCTGGAATATTTCTAGTTTCAACATTCAAAGTACTGTGTCCAGGAAACTTCCTGAATCTTGAACAAACTGGAAAAGTTGGTCACCCTACTTCTAAGACATGTCTAAATCCAAATTATTTCCTATGAATTTTTTTAAATTATCAGTAAAAAATATGATTTCTTTATCTTCTCTTCAATTTGTTGCATTAATTGAATTTTGAAGAAGTTGCCTATTAATGGCACTCTTATGTTTCAGAAGTCAAGGCTAAGAGTAGCTTATCCAAAATGAGGAAAAAAACACATTTATTTGACTCCCCATTTGGTGTTTTTTTTAAATTTTATTGTAACATGTTGTTTAATTAAAAGAGCTCTCAAATAGCTTGAATCTCTTTGCTCACAATGTTTTACCTGTTAATTATGAGAGCTTTGGTATGCACACTCTTCTGGTTACACGATACTCTCAACCAGTTGCAGGTGTCAAGAACATGAACATCACAAAATCTGGAACCTAGTCATGACTGCATTACCATCATGGGACTTGGAAAAGTCGCTTTAACTTTTTTAGGCTAACTTTCTTTACTAGTAAAATGAGATAAGCATAATACATTTCTCAGAGGGTCTTGGCAAAGATGAAATGCAATTTTGCATATGAAAAAGAAATCATAGTACCTGGATCCTGCCAGGAACCCAGTTAATGTTTGCAATTATCCATTACTTCATTCAATCTGATATTTACCTTCACCATGTGAGATAGGAAGAGTGAGGGTACTATAACCCTGTTTTGCAGTGGAGAAAACTCAGGATTAGAGAAAGAGAAAATTGAGACATTCCATGTAAATTGTGACAGAGCCTCTGTCTACTTGAACTCAAGTTCCTCTGGCTTCAGGTCCAGGACTTATTCTACCAACTGTATTTCCTTTGGGGTAAAAACAAACAAAAAAAAAACATGTAGTTTTTCTTGTTACATTTCAGGAAAATAGGTGTTTAAGTGTTAAATAATGCCTCTGTCTAAATGATGCCTAAGCCATAAAACAAAACACAAAAAAGAAATGCATCTATCGTTTCAGGAGATGCCAAGGTTTCTACAAGGATTCAAAGATTCAGTTTCTCACTTTTTAATCTCTGTTGGGAATTATGAGGCAATAATTATTATCACTTCAATTGCCAGGTATTATCGAAAATGAATAATCATATGGTCATAAAACATTATCTGGTACCAAAGAATATACTATTAAATGAAATAAGTGAAGATAAAACTTTTTAAAATTTTTATGTATTTTTTCCAGACGGGGGGTCTCAGCCTGTCACCCAGGCTGGAGTGTAGTGGCGCTGTCTCCGCTCACTTCAAACCTCCACCTCCCAGGCTCAAGTGATCCTCCTACCTCAACCTTCCGAACAGCTGAATAGCTGGGACTGCAGGTGCGCGCCACCTTGCCCGGCTAATTTTTGCAATTTTTGTAGTGATGGCATTTCACCATATTGCCCAGGCTGGTCTCGAGTTCCTGGACACAAGCAATGCACCTTCTTTGGCCTCCCAAAGTGATAGGATTGCAGGCGAGAGCCACCATGCCCAGCCAAAACTTATTTTTTAAACAAGCTATAATAAAAAGAATGTATTTGTTGAGTTTATTTAATATAAAACCTTGACTTCAAAATTTGTAAGAATAATGTTTAGAGACATTAACTATTATAGAAATCGAGTTTCCATAGTCTGAACTCCAAAAAAAAACCTCACATTTCAAAAATCATTAAAGAAAAACTCAGAACAAATGATATAATGGGAATTTACATGTATTTGGTTTTGTGATTGCAGTGAGTGTATAGAGAAAAATCTGATTTATGAATTTACAAGACCTAATCAATAGAATTTATGCTGCCAATAAAGTTGTTTGCAACATTTTTAATTGAATCCTTTTTATGCCTGCATAGATCCTATGGCATCTACAGAACTACTAATATAAATCTTTTCAGAAAAAAAGCAAGACAGATGTATGCGAATACACAGGAGTAAGAAAAGCAAATCTTTTTTTTTCTAGCTATTCAGAAATAGTTTGCAATCATGTGACACATACAAAGTAAATTATTGCCAGACCTGTAATCCTAGCACTTTGGGAGGCTGAGGCTGGTGCTTGAGCCCAGGAGTTTGAGACCAGCCTGGGCAAAATGGTGAAACCTCATCTCCACAAAAAATACAAAAATTAGCCGGGCATGGTGGCATGCATCTGTAGTCCCAGCTACTCGGGAGGCCAAGGTGGGAGGATCACCTGAACGCAGGAAAGGTTGAGGCCACAATGAGCTGTGATTTCACCACTGAATTCAAGCCTGGGTGACAGAGTGAGACTATGCCTAAAAAAAGAAAAGTAAAATAAGTAGATTGCCTTAGGAAATTAGTCATAATACCTTACAAGTACTGTGCTAGGAAAAATTCTCACTTTATTTTGGAATAAAATATTTATTGATATATTTGATGGTTAATTTTATGTGTCAACTTGACTAAGTCATGAGGTACCCTGCTTTCTGGACAATCATTATTTTAGGGTGTGTCTGTGAGGGTGTTTCCAGAAGAGATTAGCGCTTGAATCAATAGACTGAGTAAAAGAGATTGTCCTCCCCAATAAGGGCAGGCCTCATCCAATCTTATGGAGACCTAAATAGAACAAAAAGGCAGAGGAAGGGAGAATAGTATCTCTCTGCTTGATTATCTGAGCTGGAACATCAGCCTTCTTCTGCCCTTGAACTGGAACTTACATCATCAGTGTTCCTGGTTCTCAGGCATTTGAGCTTGAACTAGAACTTATGCTATCATTTCTCCTGGTTCTCATACCTTTAGACTTGGCTGGGAACTACACCTCCAGCTTACATTGGTCTGTAGATTATGAGACTTCTCAGCTTTTTAGTCATCATATGAGCCAATTCCTTATATTAAATCTCTCCCTCTATTTCTCTTTCTCAGTCTGTCTTTCTGTGCTTCTCTCTCCAAATACACACACACACACACACACACACGCAAATGCACACACACATATATGTGTGTATGTATTTGGAGAGAAAGAAGCACAGAAAGAAGTATGTGTGTATACACACACGTGTGTGTGTGTATCTCCAATTAGTTCTATTTCTCTGGAAAACTCTGACTAATAAAGTAGGCCATTATTCTCATGAATTAACTTTTTCTTTTTTCCTGATCATCATCTGCCTCTTCACGAAGTTTAGTGTCTACATTTGCAAAAGAAAGCATGTAAATTCTCCATTATTGTACATTATTGTATATTATTGTACAAGGAAATGACACTATATTCCTAGTTTATTTTCTTATTTTATGAAAGCTATATTGGGTTAAATGATTTTTCTTTTATTTGATAAATGTTGGCTTATATATATATATATACACACACACACACACCATATATATGTACATATACTATATATTGTATATACAATATTGTATATACATATATACTATATATACACATATATACAATATATGTATATATACATATATACAGTATATATGTATATATACTTATATACATGTATATACAGTATGTATTATATATACTATATATACAATATATAGTATATATAATACATACTGTATATACAATATGTATATATATATCACATATATATGTATATATATTTACTATATATACTATATATAGAGAGAGTAAATAGTGCTGTATTAGGCATTGACAAGAATGAACTGATCCCTGCCTTTATGGCAGGACAGTTTAGCCAAGAAGATTATGCATGCTATTTGAATAATATTCATAGACTCATTAATTAAGTAAAGGATCTAAATGGTTTTATTTGCTGTGGACTTCCAGTATTTTATCCACATATTATGTTAATATGTCATTTTGTTTCCCTTTAACCTTTGCCAATTTGGTAGGCAGAAAATTGTACTAGATTGATGTTTAATTTGATTTGTTTCTTTAATATTAAGGTTAATTTTATATGTTTATTATTCATTTAGGGCTGCAATTTTTGTTATTGATGTTTTCCTGAGCTGTTATTTATTAATAACATATCTTTATATGTAAATTGTGTTTATCTTTTCTCTGTAAGATTACAAAAATATAATCCTAATTTTGCCTTTGATTTTTAATTTTATTTACAGTACTTGGAAACAGACAGTTTGAATTTTTTAAATATTAAATCAATAAATAGTAGTGAACAATAGTGAAGGGCTAACTGTTCCCAAACACTTTAATAATACTTTATATATTTTATCTTGTTTAGTTTAACCACAGCTTTACTAAATAATACTTACTATTATCTTTGTTTTATACATGGGAAAGTAAAACTTTTTAAAGAAGGTCATTTAACTTCAATAAATTTATTCAACTAAGACAATGAATTTAAACCATAATGTTATTTCTTCAGTCTTCTGTCTTGAGTGCCATGTTTAGAAAGCAAGTGTACTTGCTTCAACATTATTATGTCTTCCTGTGTGCGTGTGCTTTCTTTTTTTTTTTATCTACAATGCATGAAATAATTTAATAATTAAAAGTATAAAATTTCTGCAATCAATTTTGATCCATGGTGGAAGGTAGTAATAGAATAGAGAGCTATATAGGTTCCAGCCCCAAAATCTGTATATAGACCCTGACCCAATCCTGAGTTGACACCTGAAGCATTCGTGCTCAGGAGAAATTCACAGAGGCTCAAAGGAAAGTAATTGGAAAGAACGGAGCACAGATCTCAGCTTCCCCACTCCTGAAGAGATAGAGTTTAGAATGTGTCACCTGACAGGCTAACTGCCTTGCAGAACAAAAATCAATAAAAATCCAGAGTTTCTACAAATATTAACTTAATATCTAGAATACAGTCTAAAATTATTTTGAATATTGAAGCATCAATTAGAAACAAACATTATGGTGATTTAAAATATTGAAATTACCTGATAAAGACTTTATAGCTATATTTTATGTTTAAAGACAGAGAAAATATGACTTTAATAAATGAATAGATGGTGACTCTCAAAAGTGAAATAGAAATGAAAAAAATATTACAATGAAAATTCCAGAATGGAAAAGTACAATATCTGAAATTACAAATTCACTGGATGGGCTTAATAGCAAATAAAGGTGACAGAAGCAGGCACAACTGAACTTAAAATTAGATTCATATAAATTATCCAAAATAAAGAGCTGAAAAAAAGTTTTAGAAAACAGGGTTTCAGTGATCTGTGGAAAAATATCAGAAGATATAAAATATGTGTAATTAGTACCAGATGGAAATATTTTTTGAGACAGAAAAAATAATGGAAGAAATAGTAAAATAAATTTTCTAAACTCTGGATGGAAAAGATAAACTTGCAGATACAAGAAGCTCAGTGAGCCTTAAAGATGATGAACCCAAAGAAAACCATAATGATACTCAATATAATAAAATGGACTAAAATCAAAAATGGAAAAATATTAAAAGCAGCCTAGGATAACACAATGCTTAGAGAGGAACAAACATTCAAATAACTGAATATTTCTCATGAGAAGCCAAGGAGAACTCAAGAAAATGGCACAGTATTTTTTCTAATCCTAAAATAGAGAATTGTCAAATCAGAATTCTTTATCCAGAAAAAAATCCTTCAAAAATGAAGTTGAAATAGATATTCTCAAATAAAGGGAAAATAAGATAATTTTGCTTGCAGTTATGGTCTAAAGAAAAAACTGAAAGTAGTTATTTGGAAAAAAGGGAACTGCAATGAGAAGGAAATTTGGAACATCATGAATGAAGCAATAGAAACAGAAATGTTAAATCAGTTAGTAAATAAAATAAACTACTTAAATCCTCTTAAGTTCTTTAAAATGTTTGACAGTTGAAAACTAAGATTATAACAGTTTGATGCTGTTTTCAATGTATGCAGAAGTAAAATATAAGGCAACTATAACATGAAGAAGAGAAGGTAAGATAACCTACATGATAGTAATATTTCTACATCCCATTTGAAGTGGTGAAGTATTAATTTAATGTACCCTGTGGAAATTAAGTCTTAAAGCAACCACTAAAATAATACATAATTAGATTAATAACAGATATGTTAAAATGGAAAACTGAAAATTCAAATAATCCAGTAGAAGCTGGGAAAGAAGAAAACAGGAAGAAAAGCCAGATGGACAAATAGAAACCAGGTATCATAATAACAAATCTAAATCCAAACACATGAATAATTACAATGAATGCAATTAATCTAAATACAACAATTAAAAGGCAAAGATGCCATAATGTAAGACTATATATGGCCTAAGTATATGGTACGCACAAAAAAACTTACTTCAAATGTGATGATAAAGATAGATATGGTGAAGAGATTCTAAAGTGGTCCCAAAATCCCCACCTCCTTATATTGATGTCCATGCATAATCCTTTTCCCTTATGTGTGAATGGGGCCTGTGACTTACTTCTGCCCAGTAGAATACAACAAAAGTGGCTGAATGTGTATGATTATGTTATATATTTCTGGAACTCTATTCCTGGGAGGAAATTGTCTCTCCCTTGATAGCTTAAAAAAAAAATGTTGCTATGTTGTAGCCTGACTTGAGAGGACCACGTGGCAAAGAAGCTGAGGATGAACTTCTGCTAACAATCAGCAAGGAACTGAAGCCCTCAGTCTGACAACCCACAGACCCACAACCACTTTCCAACCAAGGAAGCAGATTCTTCTTCAGTTGATACTACAACCCAGAGAATTACTTTGATTACAGCCTTACAGAGGACCCTACTATGCCCTGCCTGGTCTCCTGAACCAAAGAAACTGAGATTTTTTAAATTCCTGTTTTAAGCCCTACAACTCTTCCAGAAATTAAATTTATCATTTAAAAGAAATATCCAGTGGGGAGGAGCAGTGGAGTTAGAGGTGAACAGGCACAGCACAGAGAATGCTTTTGGCAAGGAAAATGCTCTGAACGATATTAAAATGGTGGACACAAGTCATTATACATTTGTCCAGATCCATAGAATGCACAACTCTGAAGGTGAAGCCTAATGTAAACTATGAACTTTGAGTGATTATGATGTGTCAATATAGGTTGATGAATTGTAATACATGGACCACTCTGGTAGGGGATGTTAATAATGGGAGAAGCTATGTATGTGAAGGAATGGGGGTATATGAGAAATATCTATACCTTTTCCTCAATTTTCCTATGAATCTAAAGCTGCTCTAAAATATAGTCTTAAAAAGTCAACCTCCAGGCCCAGATGGTTTCACTGAAGGATTCTACTAAGTTTGAAAAAAAAAAAAAAAAAAAGAATTAACATCAATTATACACATTCTACACAATTGCTTCCAGAACAGAAGAAGGAACACTTTCCTGCTCATTTTGTAAAACACTGATAGCAAAACCAAACAAAGAGAGTGCAAAAAAAGGAGGAATAAATAAAACTACAGAGGAATATCACTTAAGAATATGGATGCAAAAATCCTTAACAAATTATTAGCAAATCAAATTCAGCACTATGTGCCTAGAATTATAAACCATGACAACACGGATTGTATTCCAGGAATACAAGTCCAGTTAAATATTTAAAAATCAGTGTGATCCACACTGTGGCTAATGAAAAAGAAATTGCATTATCATATATTAGGTTGGTGCAAAAGTTATTGGGGTTTTTTTCATTACTTGGCATTTGCATTACAATGGCAAAAACTGTGATTATTTTTGCACCAATCTATAAATCAGTGTAGAAAAAGCATTTGACAAAATGCTGAACACATTTGTGATTAAAACTCTCAGAAAACTTTGAATAGAAAGAAGCATTCTAAACTTAACAAAGACATACAAAAATCTACAGTAAACATCATATTTACTAGTGAAAAAAATAAGAGTACTAATTAGGAACAAGACAATAATATCTGCTCTCACCACTTCTATTCAACATATATGATGGTAATCTGAAAATATGGCAATACAATCACTAAAGTTTCTGACCAGTAAAATAAGACAAATAAATAAACAAATAAAAACATACAAAACACAAAGGAAGAAATAAAATGGTTCCTAATTGCAAATGGCATGATTGAATATTAGAAAACCCAAGGAATCTGAAATAAATGAATAAAAATTAAAGAAATAAAAAATTTCCTATGACTAATAAGTAATTTTGGCAAAGTCGGGGAACAAAAGATCAATGCACAGAAATAAATAATATTTTATTATAAAAACAAGGTATGATTGGAAAGTAAAAATAACAGAGTACCATTTACAATGGTTCCAAAAAATGGAGTACTAATATATAAATATAACAAAACATGCACAGGACCCATATGCTAAAAACTACAAAATTATGACAAAAGCAATAAAAAGGCACCTAGATAGATGAAGAGACATACCATGTCTAGGGATTAGAAGACTTAACATAATAAAAGACAAATCTTCCCCAAATTGATCAATGACCTTCTTGTCAAAACTGAGAAGAATTTTTTATAGATATAGACAAGCTGACTCTAAAATTTATATGGAAAATCAAAAGAATTAGAATAGACAATTTTGAATAATGAAAGTAAGCATGGAGAAATCACACTACCTAACTTTAAGACTTTAGTAATTAACAGTGTGGTATTGGCAGAAGGATAGATGCATAGATCAATGGACCAGAATAACAAGTGCAGAAATAGAATGACAAAAATATGGCCATTTGGTCTTTTACAAGATTGTAAAAGCAATTCAATGGGGAAAAGATAATCTTTTCAACAAATTGCATACAAAAAAATCTCAACCTAAATCTCACATCTTATACTAAAAATAACTCAAAATTGATTATATATGTAAATTTAAAATATAAAACTTTAAAACTTTTAGGAAAAAATGTAAGAGAATATCTTCATAACCTGAGATCAGGCAAATCTTAGACGTAGCACTAAAAGCACAATCCACAAAATAAAAAATTGTTAAAATTACTTATCAAAATAACAAACTTTTGCTCTATGAAATACATAGACGAAAATACAAGCTATAGATTGAGAGAAATATTTGCAAATTACATATCTATCAAAGAACCTGTGTCAAACTATATATGCGACTTTCAAGAAAGCAAAAACTCAAAATAAGAAAGCACATAACCTAATTAAAAAATGAGCAAAGGACTTGAGCAGATACTTCATGTAAGTGATTATATGGATGGCAAATAAGCATGTGGATGTTGTTCAACATCATAAAATATTAGGGAAATGCTGATTGAAACCACCATATGATATCATTATACACGTTAGAATGGCTTAACTAATCAATACCCAAGTACTGATAAAATAACAAGTACTGATGAGCCTGAAGAACAACTGGAACTCTGATACATTGATGATATGAATGCAAAGTGGTACAGCCTATCTACAGAGTAATTTGGCAATGTTTTATAAAGTTAAAAATATCCTTACCAAATCATGATACTTGGGTATTTAGACAAGAAAAGAGAGAACATTATTTGCATGAAAATCTATACACAAATTTGTAATTGCAGCTCCCTTTATAATTGCCCCAAATTAGAAACAACCCAAATGTCCGAGGATATTTGAATGGAAAAACTGGTAAAGCCATACATAGAATGGTATTCAGCAACAAAAAAATGACAAGAGGGACAAGCTATTGATAAATCTCAAAGGCATTGTGCTGAGTGAGATAGCCATTCTCAAAGGTCACACTTATGTACAATTACAACTATATGGCATTTTCGAAAACACAAAGCTATAGAGATGGGGTTAAGAGTAGGGAGGTGGGGAAAATGTAACTATAAGCAGACAGCATGAAGAAGTATTTTAGGGTGATTTAAGAGTTCTGTCTTCTGATTGTGATTATTACATAAATCTATGCATGTGTTAAAATTCATATAACTGCACACCAAAATAGTCTATTTTAGTGTATGATAATTAAAAATTAAGTTTAAAAAGAAGTTATGGGCCTAAGGAATATGCATTCATTGAATAGTCATGTAACTTAAAAAGCACCTCACAAAATTCTGTGGAGTTATAAAATACGCTTTAAAATATTTAAGTGTGACCTGGACGATGATAGATGCCCAATTACCTAAAAATCTCTTGTTTCAATACATAGCAGACTTATTTTCTTTTGCCTCAAACCATATCCTAGACAGGCCTTCTAATAATAATTGTTCTAGTTTCCAGAAATGCTGAGATTGCAACATATGAACATTTTCTCAAGTCGCTTAAGCCCCTTCTGTTTTACTTTTCTTGAATTTCATAACGCCAGAAGACCATTGTGATCCTGATTATATTAGCTGGCATTGTATGAGGTCCTAGGCAAGTTTTACTAATATAAAATGTGATTGTTGATAAAAACTTCCTTGACGGTTTAACAAAATATAGATTCAATTACAAAGCCAGTAGAAGATCCTTGGGAATTTAAAATGAGGACATGCCTGTTTCATAAAATTAGACTGATTCTTTGAATAATATTATTAAAGGTCAGTGCCACAGCTGTGTATTTGATGAGCAGCTGTGTGAGCTACCAGGAACAATGAACTGTCTGATTGGCACCAGACCCAGCCGTGCCAGCAGTTAGGATGGAAGGATTTTGAACAGATTTAGAACAAGTAGCTACTGCGTCCTGCTGTGGACACCCTAACTATTGGAGAGTTTAAAGCAAATGGAATAAAGACAGTGCAATTTGAGAATAAAATAGACATCCTATGGAGACTAGGGTTGTGATGAGGAAAGAACACAGAATGTTCCCTAAGGCAATAGAGACTGTCTCTTCAAAAGCATTAAGTGAATTTAAGTCTTTTAGTTTGAGAATATCAAAGTAGGATGTTTTTGACAGCATTTGTTGAAATGGTGGAAAAATTCACACAATCCCACTTTCTACTGGCAAGATGACACTTAAATCCTATTTACTTAGATCCAGAATTTATCTTGGATTTATATGAGCCTACGATAACATGGTAAAATTTCTCTTTCCAGGAGTGTGGTAGGGAAATAAAGGAACATATAATGAGTTCTTCAAGTAAAACAAGAGAGTCAGCAGCCTAAAAATGCATGTGTATGCTTCTTGCTGGTAAATAGAGTTGATTTTTATTTCACTCGTTATTATTTGAAAGACTACTGTGTGTGTGTGTGTGTGTGTGTGTGTCCATGTGTGTAACATGAATATTATTCTTCATATGTATAAAGCCAAATATGGAAAAAACTCTCAGTAGCATGTTTTACAGTTTTTATTGCCAATCACAGTTTGTTATTTTTTCTTATCTTAATTACATGTAGTTTTCACTTCCTATAGTTTATTTTGATTACATCACCATTATCTTCCTGCATTCTCATTACCTTTTATCCTCTTTTACAAAGCGGATGGCCTTTAGACTTGAACTGCAGCATGGCTCTTCTTTGGGACCCCAGCCCGTGGCCCACTCTACAGATCTGGGGACGTGCCAGGCTTTATAATCATGTAAATCAATTCCTTCAAATAAATCTTCTTCTGTATATATGTATACATCCTAGTGGTTCTGTTTCTTTGGAGAACCCTAACTAATAAAATCACCATTCTATGCAGAGAAGGTTGACTATGAATGTGGAAAAATGATCAGCAAAGCTTGGCAGTCATGCAGAAGCAAGTATATTTTTAAAGCTGGTAGAGTCTATGAACAACAAATGAGTATTTACTACCTTCAGTCTACACCTCAAAAACACCTACCAGTGGCATAAAAACCATAGATGAAATCATTTCGTATAAACTTCGTTGAATAAATATAAATTAAAATGATATAAAACATGCATTTGCCTACAAACATGTATTAATCTTTATTTTAGAAGGTAAAATGAAGATAACTTTTTTCTTCTTTTTCAGATAACTTTTTTATGGAGGTATCTCTTGCAATAAAACATTACAGGTTCTTCTTTTTCACTGCTCTTTTAATCTGTTGAATATTAAAGCATCTCAATATAATTCCTATTGTTTCATATATAAGTGGAAACCAAAAGCCCTTGGGCCTTTTTTTTTTTGGCAGTATATCATCCCATATCTGACTGCAGAAGGCAAGCACTAAAAATGTTTGTTTGTCTTCTAAAAAGCCCTTTAAGACATAGAGAAGAGAGAGCTACACAACATGTTACTAAGCTAACCATACATACACACACATCACATGTATATATACAAACACATTTATATGTATTCTAGTAATCTCTAGCCTTCTAAAGTTCTCTCTCTCGTTGTCTTTTTTCCCTCTAATTATTCTGCCTCCTTCTCTCCCACCACTGCATGCACAATGCAAACCATCTGTAGGACATTTTATTCTTCCAGGTCATCTAAAGACTAGCAACAAGGAGAAGCCTTCTCTCTGTAACTCACACATCTCCTCACTTGGTAAAACAAAAGGAAGATCCTGTTAGTCATCATTTTTCTAGGGCAAAAAAGCAAAAATTACATATCCTTATAACTGATTTTTTCAGCTATAAAATATAATTTTTAAATCATTTGATGACTTTTCCTTAATCTTCTCTTCATCCCTCCCAATGAAGTACCCACATATTTGTTCTGGCCTCCCCAAGGTTCTTTACCTTTCATACTGATTCATTCTGTCTTGAGCCATGTAGTTTTGTATGTCAGAAAAGCCTAATAATTCTTTTGTGTAGCATTCCACCACATGCAGTTAGATATTTAAGTAATGTTATAGCAATCATTGATCATACTTTTTCTACTATCTGTTTCCCTGGGCTTTTTTTAATCTTTTAAACTATATTTATATTTTATTTCCAGACATTTATAATATGCTGTTATTTATTCCTGTATTTTAAATCTTTACATAAGAATATAACCTAATGTGTCCATGAGTGAATCTTTCTTTTCAGCTTTTTGGGAAGCTATACTATATGTCATTAGGCCATGAACATTCCCCACTGTGAAGAGTTCAAGGAGGAGAAGGCTTAGTCTGCCTGGGTAGTCTTCAGAGACACAGGTTATCAAAGTCTGTGCAGGACATAGGCTATGCACCAGGTCTGTGTCTGCTGGGGCTAAATTGGGTGAGAACAGAGTCAACTTTTAAATGAACTGATGATTATGATAAAAGGACTGGCTTTTATTTTTATTCTTTTGAGCAGAAGAATGAGCTGGAATCCTGGCTGACTTATCCTGAATGATTACATAACATGCAATTATCAGTAGTAATAGAGAATGGGATGAAGAAATTCTCAGGAAATCTCTGGACCTCATTTTAGGCATAATTTAAACGTCAATGATAAGAAATATTTAATCTAGCTTTTACTAAAGTCTTTTCTCTGGAACATTAATTCTGTTTTATGTCTTAAAAAAAGAAAAAGAAAAACTCTCTAAAGAAATAAGTTTGGGAAATGCTAGGTTCAACACAGTTAAAACCAGTTTCTTTTTTGCAAGAGAGCTAGAAGCCTTTAATACCCCAGTGTGTACTGTGAATTTTTAAAAGGGGGGATATAATATGTAGCATTTATCCAGAATATTGAATTAAAGAAACATTTTTAAAGGCGATTTTTAAAGAAGTATTCTACAGATCATACATTGAAAAATGCTGCTCAAATCAGAATTGGTAATAGATATCAAATTGATATGATTGCATTAAGTGGATTTTTTTTATTTGGCAGGAAAACTGCCAAATAAGAGCAAAATGTCCTAAGGGCAAGTAAACATATGGACTAGGAAATCAAAAAAGTTCTGTATAACCAGCCTGCAAATGCTTCAGCATGAGCTATACTTTTAGTAATAATTGGCCTCCAGATTATTCTGGAAATATGCGATTGACAGGAAATCGAAATCAACACATGCCCTACCAAACACCTTTTAAAACTGCTGCTTTTCCCAAGCACTAATACTTTCTTCTATCTCTCCAGAGCCAATGGTAATCTTTACCAATATCCAGTCTGCTAGTGGCTGGGAAAAAGTCCAGCAGAGCCATGGGTGAGCACTTCCCCACTCAAAGCAAGTGATCACATTGATTAGTAGCTGCTCTGTAGGAGCTGGGAGACAGATGCCTTGTTCTAATTACAGTTTTAGCACCTTCCACTCCACATTTCCCTGCTGCAGAGGGTGCTGTGAAGTCTCTGCAGATGCTTATCAGCTAAACTCCATTTTGAATACAAAGTGGCATTACTACCTCACAAGAACTCAAAGTACAGGCTAAATTCACAAGATGCATTCCCAGACTTCATCTCTGTAATACCAAGGAGAATATTTATTTGTCCCTTATTGACACAGGGAAGTTGAGACAACTGTATAGGCCTCTAATAACTTCACTTATCTGATACTGCATCAGGGAAAGAGCAAGGAATACTACATGTGCAGCTCATTCCTGGCATCTGCACTCAGTGATCATGAGAAACGGGAGGGCCCAATGAAAGAGACTGGGGCATTTTGGCCAGGGGAGTAGAGAGACCCTCCACAGCTCCTCAGCCTCTTTCACTGATTTCTTTCACCTTTTATGAATGCTGGTATATTTTCTACATGTGTATTTTCTGTATCAATAACCCTTTCCCTCTAAATGCTCTTCAGTGGGACTCTAAACCACTTTCTGTGGCTTCAGCCATCAACTCTAATTGGACAGGTAACAAAATTGTCCCTACACCCCTGACTTCTCTCATAAATACAGTCATATTTTCGTCTTCCTGATGGACATTTTCATATAGGTATTCAACTAGTGGCTCAAATCAATACATCAAAAAGAGAGAACACTTTGATCGCCACTTCCCCAAGCCCAAATTTCTTTAAAAAAATGTCATGTATTTCACATTTTGTATTGGGATAAGGATTTAAAAATAGACCATATATTTAACAAATATTTTTGGGAGTGTATTATGGACAAGAAACTGTCCTATGGGTTAGGATACAGCAGTGACCAACACAGAAAAACAATTCCAGCCCTCCTGGAGTTTATATTCTATTGAATTGTTACAGAAAATAAATACACCAAACACACAAGGTCAAAATGTAATGAAATTATGGGGAAAACCTAAACAGATGAAAAGACTCTGAGGTACACAAATGTTTGATGTGTTTTTCAGATATCAGAGAAGCCAAATGGTACTAAAGCAGAATGATCTAGGAGGAAAAGATTTAGTTCAAAGAGATAGTGGGCCCAGAAAGTGAGATACAATTGTTCTCAATCCAAGCTGCACTTGATAGTTACTGATATGGTTTGGCTGTGTCCCTACCTAAAACTCAACTTGAATTATATCTCCCAGAATTCCCACATGTTGTGGGAGGGACCCAGGGGGAGGTAATTGTATCCTGGGTGCTGGTCTTTCCCGTGCTAGTCTCGTGATAGCGAATAAGTCTCACGAGATCTGATGGGCTTATCAAGGATTTCCACTTTTGCTTCTTTCTCATTTTCTCTTGCTGCCGCCGTGTGAGAAGTACTTTTTCCTCCTGCCATGATTCTGAGGCCTCCCCAGCCATGTGGAACTGTAAGTCAAATTAAAACTCTTTTTCTTCCCAGTCTCAGATATGTCTTTATCAGCACCATGAAAACAGACTAATACAGTTACCTAACAAAACATTTTAAAAATATCATTGTCCAGATCCCATACAAGAATTGCTAAATTAAAATCTCTGAGTAAGAGACCCTGATATTGGTGTCTTTCAAAAGCTGCCCAGGTGATTTTAATTTGCTTATGTCAAGAAGCACTGAAATTGGGAACTTGCTGGCTATTACAATGACCTAGTCTTCTATCTGAGTAAGAGGCAATGTTTTTATCAAAGAAGTAGCATGATCCTATTTATGTTTTAAAAGGATAGCTCTATCTGATGTGTGGAAAATAAATTGTAAGTGGGGGGTGACAAGGGCATAAGGATCAAGTCAACTTTTGGACTCTAGTAACAACTCAAGTGGGAGAGGTAGTGGCGTGGGGAAGGGTGGTAGCAATGGATGTGGTGGGAAATAGTCAGATCCTGAATATATTTGGAAGGTAGAGGGAACACGGTTTGCTACTGCATCAAATGTATGTGGCAAGAAGAACTGAATGATAGCCCCAAAGTTTTGGCCTAAGAAGGATGGACTTGCCATACCTGAGGTCAGGAAAAAACATGGGAGAAAGCTTAGAAGAAAAGGCTTGGAGTGGCTTTTGAACTTGTTAAGTCTCTTATGTCTTTAATAGACACAGAACAAACAAAAGACATCCAAGACTGTGAAGTAGACAAATAGCTAGAACTCTGAAATTCAGGGAAGATGTTTAGACTGGAGATAGAATTTGGGGAGTCATCAACAAATAGATGGCTTTAAAGCCAAAAGATTGTATGAAAGCCCCTAAGAAGTGAGCAAAATGAGAAAGAAAAGATGTCCAAGGTCTGGCTACCATTGAAACTTTAGGGAAATAACTGAGCAATAAAGGAAGGAAGGGGATCAGCAGAGTATATGGCATTTCAAAGAAATAAACTTCATCTAATGTTGTGAAGTCAAGTAACATAAGGACTGACGATTGCCTATTGGATTTAGTATTATAGATACTATTGGTGGACTTGACAGGAGTAGTTTTAACGGAACCATGTGGGCAAAAAGGAATATTAGTGTAAGCTGAAGAGTAAACCCAAGGAGAGGACTTTGAAACAACTTTTTGAAGAATTGTGCAATAAAAAGAAACAGAGAAATGTGCTTGGAACTGAAGGGAAAGTGGGGCTTCAAGAAAGTGTGTGTAGGCCAGGCACGGTGGCTCACACCTGTAATCCCAGCACTTTGGGAGGCCAAGTCAGGTGGATCACCTGAGGTCAGCAGTTCAAGACCAGCCTGACCGACGTTGTGAACCCCCCGTCTCTACTAAAAATACAAAACTTAGCCAGGCATGGTAGTGCGTACCTATAATCCCAGCTACTTGAGAGGCTGAATGACGAACCTGGGAGGCAGAGGTTGCAGTGAGCCAAGATCCCGCCATTGCACTCCAGCATGGGCAATAGAGTGAGACTCTGTCTCAAAAAAATAAAAACAAACAAACAAAAAATCAAGAAAGTGTGTGATACTATTATTATCGGAGAGATTAAGGCATGTCATATGATAACACAAGAATCAATTAGAAAAAAATACTAGAAATATACCCTTAAGTAGATGAAAGGGAATTATGTATGATGCACAAGAGGCTGAATTTTGCTAAGATCACCAACTTTTTTTCTCCCAGAAACAAGAAGGAAGGCAGAGATAAGAGAGGGTGAGAAGATGTTGTGGTGGGATTATATGGAAAATTGTTTATGCGTATCACTCAATTTTGGAGTGTTTCTAAATTTTCTTCTCCCATGATATAGCTGTTAGATGGATAAATTTCTTGCTTTACAAAATGGCTTTTTAATTATCCTAGGTTAGATTGATACATTTTAAAAAATTGTGACATCTCGCATTTTTCAGCGTTAAAGTAACTTATCTCTCCCTCAACTTTCTAAGCCATCCATATGTCCCAGAATTTGGTGAGCTGCTAAACAATTATCCTTCAAAAATAGTTGATACATTGTGGGAAATAACATCCTGTTTTAGTTTACTATAAGAAAATCATGAGTCAAATGTAATGAATTTCCCTCCCAACCTAAGAGCCCTCATAACATTCTGTCCCTCAGCTTCCAACTTTCCAAAAGAGCTTTCATCAGCTGATTCCAACCGACTTTAATTCAATTTCAAGTAAATAAAGGATTAAAGAAAAGAATCATGCCTCCCTCTAACATGTGTGAAACTGATTATATAATCTACAAAGGATCTACTAAAATTATACAGATTGTACTATCCTTCATATAGAACATTTCATTAGTTTATAGAAAAGTGAGACTTATTGAACTATTGGCTATGTGTAATATATCCACAAAGACTGACTTTTCCAATTACAGAAACTTTTTCCATGTAAAGGCCAAAAATAAGATTTGGATTAGCTGCTTTTTATACCATAAAATGACTTTTAGCAAATCCTGAAATTAACGTTTTGCGTATCATTTTATTGTCAAATTTTTTAATACTTACATAGGATCCTGTTATTCTTATACTGTCTGATATTATGGGATTATATTGATGAAGTCCAGATAAGGATCTGGCTTCCACAATTTTCAGCAACCCCATAGAGGCTGGAATATAACGTATAGTAGGGGCACAGTAAACTTAATGAGGTGAATGTAGTTGAAATTTTAGTTGAAAAAAGCAGTGTAAGTAAGATGTTAACTGATTAAAGTCATTAGAATATAAACTCCATGTGGGTAAGAACTTTGAATTTCTCTAACAACTCTATTTCTAATACCTGGCCCATAGTTTAATGTGTATCTGTTGAGTGCATGTTGAAGAATCAATGTACAGATAATTTCTCTGTTTACATGTATTAGAACATGGTCTTTAGCTATGACATATGACTATATGCCAAACGTTGAAAAAAATTATTATTAATTTTGGAAGCCATGTTTCCTTATTTCTCTCTTCTTTATGTAGTTGGTATGGTTGGCTGCCTATCTTCAAGCCCAATACGCCAGACCTCCTAAGAATTTTCTGAGCTGCCCAGTTTTTTTTTTTTTTTATGTTTAGCAAATGCCTTTTTCCACTTAAATATTTCAGAGACAATTTTTTGTTGTTGAAAACTAAGAATCCTGGCAGAGAGAGGATCCCTGTGCTCCTTGGAGCCCAGAAGAGATTTAATCCCCGGGACATAGTCTAGATGTAACAGCTGGGTCCTCTGCCTTTTCTTCATTGGAAATTTCTTCTCTTGGGGTAGAGGAAAGGATTCCCGGAGGGAATTGGAATGAATCATGAATCTGCTGTTAATAACACTTTGTACTTTCCTTGCAAATTTTGTTCCCACCAGAGCTCAAAATGTTTTGTAATCCAGCATTTTGTTCTGTGGCTGTTATTTCCAAGGATATTATATTTGAGGATAATATGCGTTTCTAGAAAAATTGCCAAAGAATTGTTGCATGTGAATAGAAACTGAAGCAAACTTTGCCTCTGACCCATGCTAAAATAACACTCTTGTCAGCTTGACTATATTAATAACCATGAAGGTGATATTTTAATACTACCTGTATTCCTTACAGGAGAAAAAGCTCTAGAATTAGTCCTCCAGTTATTTCAACTACTCAGACCTTTCGATGAGGATGCAAGACAGGTCTTGAAAGATGTTGTTTTGACACCCTTGACTGTTGTAGTAATCATTTCAATCTTTATTTCTTTCAAAGAATGTAACATCACAACATGAAATAAAATGACTATCTCTTTTATACCTCTCTATTTATTAAAAAAGCAAATAACTTTTGACTAAAATGAATTTTAACCAAATCAGATAAACCTGAGCTCCAGGATTTGATCTATTTAGACAGCTAAATGAGAAAATTCTTGGCCTTCTTTTCCCCATCATGGTTTCCAAATTGTTGTCTTTAATTTGTATGTGTAATTAAGCATTGTGTTTAGAAGTAACTAACAAATTATAGATCAAATTATTTCTGCAATGATCAGTCTCCAAGATGATCCTCAATGGCCTCTACATCCTGGTATTCAGACTCCCATACTGTACGAGGGATAATTTGTGTGACTAATAACACGCTATATGTAATGATGTTCAGGGATTAGGTTATAAAATTGCAACCATCTTGGGCTCACTCCATCTCTTACATTGTGAGAAGCCCGTGTAGTGAGGAACTGCAACCTCTGGCCAACAGGCAGCACAGAACTCAGAAACTGAGGCCTGCCAACAACAACATGAGTGAGCTTAAAAACAAATTCTCTAGCCCCAGTTAAGCCTTGAGATGACTGTAGTCCTGATTAACAGCTTGACTGCAACCTTGTGTGCTAGAATTACCCATTAAAGCTGCTCCTGGATTCCAGACTCTCCAAAATTGTGTGAGATATTGTAGAGTTTTTGTCTTCTTGCTGAATTATGCATCAATTTGACACACAGCAATAGACAGCTAATACTATTTCTACAGTGCCAATCTGATAGAAAAAAAATTTTGTGAAAAATTTTCTAGATATATATTCAGTTTGCATATGGTACATCAAAATCAAGATGCAGAATTAGTGATCATCCACGATTAGTGCCTCTACCCTGAATTTCACTTAAAATTCATGTTTAGCTATTAATATATGAACAAAAATAAAATGAAAGAAAATTAAGGGCAACTTTGGACACTATTTAAACAAAGTTTCTCATGAATTTATATTGGCTACCTTAAAAATCTTTTGGTTTTAAATTACTATCAAAATTATTTTAGCTTTCTTGTATAGTCTATGGTTATAAGCAAAGACACTGAATATAAAGGTGATTTCTCAGGACAAAATGACAGATTTTATGTTAAAACCTTAAAAGTCTTCAATTCTTTTGATTCATTATGAGACACATTAAGTGCCACCATCAGGCAGATATTGTTCTAGGGACAGAGAGTAAGACAGCAGTAAGCAAAACAAAATACAAATGTCTCTGCCCTTAAGGAGTTTATATTTCAGTAATCTCTCAAAGCATTTAAGATAGTTGGGCAACTAATTCTTTAGCCAATGTCAGGAAGATCTTACTCTGTGTGGCATCATGCTCTTTCATAAGAAAAAATATATATTTATATTGTGTTGAAGTTTGTCTTCCTGTGAATGACACGCAATAGTTTTAGCTTTTCCCTCTAAGTGACACTAAGCATTTTAACCTTTATTTTATGACTGACTTTTAAAATATCTAAAAATTAGCTATTATATTTTCTTGTGGTAGTCCCATTACCCCCAATTTTTTTAAACAGGCTAGAACTTCAGCAATTTTGTGTGCATTTTAAAAAATCTAAATATATTCAGTGTAAAGTACAGTCATTTCTTTAGGCTAAATGAATTGTATGTTTGAACATTTTTGCTTTATGATAAACTCTATCATAACATTACATTATTTAGTTGTTCCCCTTGTATACATTGATATAGCATGAGCCATACATATAGTATCTGTTTTTAAATGTTTCATTGTTGGAAAATGAAATTTTCAAATTATCTGCATTTTAATATACTGCATGCCTCCAAAGGAGACTGTCATGGTTTTTTTCTGGTGGACATAAGGTGACAGTGCAGCTCTCATGATGCCATCTTGTGATAAGGCTGCTTGGAAATATAGTACAGATGACCCAATGGTGTCAGAGGGACCTATTTCACCGTTTGTGAACCTACAGAATCAGTAAAAAGCTGTTCATCTCTATGTCTTGTCAGATGAATGTAATGCACCTTGAGGATAGAAAAAGACATTCCATCTATACAGTAAAAAATGAAGGCTAGTGTGGGAGGTGAATAAAATTCCAGGAAGAAAAAGAACACTTGTATTTAAAAAATATTTTTCATTTTGAGTGGAATACCTGTTTTCGGTGGCTGAATTTTTGACAACATAGTAAAACCCTGAGTATTTAGAAGATGTCAGGACAAAAGATAAGTGATCAATTTTCTTCACAATGCAAGTTACCTCTGAGTGTATCATCTTGGAGCTTTCCATTGTCTGTCAGTGACTAACACCATATCCAACTGTAGCTTTGTGTTTTCTCCAAATTTGAGAAGACACTATATGACTCATTGACAGACAATGGCAAACTCTCTTCAAGAAAGCAGGGGGCAGAAGAAACGAACATCTGGGAACTAAGCTGCAAAGAACTAATTTAAGAGTTAAGATGCTGCTGTCCACCTCCATCTGTGCATCTCTTCTCCTGAAAAAGGTTTATGTGTTCTTCTTTAGATAGAGAAAAAAATGTATTTTGTACAATGGAAATAACAACTTTAGACTGCTGGAGCAGCATGCTCAACCATGTAGCACAGGGTTAATATTTCTCCAGATCACAAGAAAAGTTGAAATACATTGATTTGTTATTGTTGCTTTTAATTCAAGTAATTCGTATTATTTTTTCTAAGTATAGGGATAAAACAGAAGACTGGCAGAGAACCACAGTTTAACAACCACTTAGTCATATTAATATACTATTCTATAATATAATCAAATTTGAATTTTATGTCTTAAATATATAAACTTATTTTATGCAGTTATCTTTATGTTGTGCTTATATCTTAGTATTTATCTTTAAAAATATATTTTTCACCTGATCTCAATCAAAACCAACAAATAATGTGGTATCTTTCCCCTTTATTTCAGACTGATACACATTTCTGAGAGTTCTTTTTTTTACATCTAGTTTCAGAAGGCATGATATAAACACTTTTCACTCTGTAAGATTTTTACAGAAGTCCCTTTTTTTCTTAAGCACTAAACACTAGTTATTTTTTCTATTTAACAATGAACGTTAATAGAGTCAAAAATGCAGTGCCATTCATCGGTAAACAAATTGTTCAAATTTTTGAAACTTTCAGTTTTACTACACTAGGTAGTCAAGAATATCCAATGAATATCTATATTTCATATAATATCATGCTTATTTGCTCTTTCTCAATGATTTCCATTTGCAATTAAGCACAAAGAGTATATGAAATTTCCAACATGCTGTGTCTCTGGAACAAATTACTTCAAGAAAAATTTTTATTATAATGATTTTCTATAAAGAGACCCTTTTGCTACTATTGTTATTTTTGAGTGTGTGTTTGTGCGTGTATGACCTTTTTTTATAAAATACTCTGCAACCACAAAATCTTAATGTTTTGCTAGTGTTCTTGGAAGACTCCAAGTCCATCTTCATATCAATATAGACAATTCCTCTTAGCATCCCTGAGAAGCTAACATCTACTTCCTGCGTAAGTACCTCCATTTGCTACACTTAAAAAAATAAGATCAATTTGGCATCAACTATGTTCCAGATACTCTCTGATATGGTTTGGCTGTGTCCTCACCCAAATCTCACCTTGAATTGTAATAATCCCCAAGTGTCAAGGGCGGCACCAGGTGGAGATTATGGAATCATGGGGGCAGGTCTTTCCCATGTCATTCTCGGGGTAGTGAATAAGTCTCATGAGATCTGATAGTTTTATAAAGGGGAGTTCCCCTGCACACACTCTCTTGCCTGACACCGTGTAAGATGTAACTTTTATCCTCATTTACCTTCAGCCATGATTGTGAGGCCTCTCCAGCCATGAAGAACTGTGAATCAATTAAACCTCTTTCCTTCATAAATTACCCAGTCTCAGGTATGTCTTTAATAGCAGCATGAGAATGGACTAATACACTGTATTAATGCTGCAATTAGCAAAATGAATACTGGGTGTGTTGGTTGCCAGAAGCACTCTATCTCCTTAGAGAGATGAACCAACAAGCAAATAACTAGACAATAGTATGTTACGTGTCACAATGGAATAAAGTCTCCAGAAGGTAGAGAGAGACTATCTCTTTGAAAAGTTAGAAAAGACCACATAAAAGAAAGAATATTTGAGCGACATTTCAAACAATTTTTGCTGGGTAATTGAAAAATAAAGGAGAAAGTGTAGTCCAAATAAGCATAAGAGAAATAGCACATGTTTAGATGTGTGAGTGTGCATGATAATCTAAATAAGTCAAATTTCTAGAACTTACATGTAAGAAGTGTGGAGTGATTGGAAGGATGAAAAATAACACCTGAAATATATTTCTTAAGGATGGTGAAGGCCTGCAGTATGTCTTAGAGTTTTGATGTTATCCTCTAGGTGAAAGATAATAACTGAAGTTTGGCAAAGGGAAAAGGATGTGCTCATTTTATATTTTAGGAAGTTCTGTGTGACACCAGAATAAAGGATGAACATTAAGGTTGGGAAACTTAAAGCATGGATATCAGTAAGCAGGCTATTATACTAGTCCAAATGCAAAATCAATGGAGACTTAAACCAGGAGTGGGACAATAGAGGGAAACATTAAAAAAATCAAAGAAATAAAAGCAGCTGTTAGAACAATATACTTTATTAAAAGTCAAAAATTGCCTTCCTATAAATTTAATCATTCTGTACTAGTTTTGACCTCTGCTCTGACATTTCTACATATATTAAGTTTAATTAAAAATATATATACACATAAATACATACATGTGTGCATATGTAATTTATATATGTCATTTAATTTATATATGTCATTTAATTTATATATGTAATTTCAGAATCATATTCTAAATCCATAATTTTTCAGATTAGACATATTTATATTTAAAAATTACTTACAACATCACTTTCCCCTTATCTTCTTGATGGCTCTCCTCCAGATATGCTCTAGTGTCTCAAGGTTCCTCTGAAAAATCACGTACTCAAATTTTTATGTTTTTATTGATTCGTATTCTCTATAGCTATATTCTGTGTTGCATATTTTCATTTCCTATAGTAAGAAAATTATACCTCCTTTGCGTATTTTAAATATACTCACAATGCTAACTTGTCTATTTTCTCTCATCTTCCTCTGTCTAGAGTAAATTGCACAATTAATACAGTTGAAGTAATTATAAAGGGGTTATTATGGCAAATGAAATAGTTCATCTAAATAGAAGTTAACATATGTCACTGTATTAATAGAATTAAAGAGCTGTAATTATATAATTACATTAGTTCTTTTTTAGCAAGTATGATGATAATCAGAATACATAGTGTTTCTCTAATTATAAATAAATTCACATTTTTATGATTAAAGCCCTTAATCTGTTCAGCTTTACAGGGGTGGGAAATAGCTTGGAACCAAAAGGTCCAATTCTTCCAGTTAAAACTTTTAAAAGTAAAACATGAAGTTGATATATTAAATGTTTTATTTTAACTTAAAGTGACCAAGTTGAAATTTCACAGAGAAGCATTTTTGCAGACAGCTGGCTATGTAGGCCATTGGCTGAATTTTTTAAAATTAATTTTAACTAAAATTTTGCTAGACATACATCAAAATTTCTACATTTTAACACCCTCTTTCCTGGAGCCAAGACCACTCAAGCTCTTTCTGACTTTTTAAAAAACATATCTTTCTTAGTAGGGAATATTGAAGTAACTACTGACTAGATAATTAACCAAGAGCACTGTTCCTTTGCTGTGTATGTATCTGCACTTGTTAGCCTACCAAAAAATTTAACTGTTACTTTCAGAGGTTCACTTGCAATGGGCAGCTGACATTTTAGGGAATAAAATATCATTGCTATCCTTATACAAGACCAATCATTAAATTAGTAATACTGTCATCTCTCAATCTTTGTTGTTAAAGATGACTGCACTAACATAGATGTATAGTTTTTGCCTTTGATTATGGCTGTGAGAAAGGCACAGAAGTTTTCATTTCAAGGGAGCAATAAGAGAAATGCATGGAATCTTAATTTCTCAATGTGCTCAATAGCAGAGGAGGACATCTGGCTGTACGCAGGCCAACATGCAATCAAATTAACATTATGAGAGTGCCACTGGTGAGTCCCATTTTCTTCCCAACATAGACTATGTTTTAATTCTTTGTAGTTTAAAATATGATCATTTTGTTTAGATTATCTGCTAGGAATTTCACCTCCAAAGGGCATTAATGTCATAATAGCTTTGAAAAGTGACTCTATCTTCTATTTCTTTCAAAAAAAACTAGGTAGGTTTGGTCTAGGAAAGCAGAGAAGTTGTCATGCTGTGGCTTACAGTGTTCTCTGGCTCTGTTTGTCCAGAGGGGCCACAGCTCACCCATCTTTAAGGAGGTAGGGGACAAGATGATCCCTTCAACAGAGGAGTGAGGCTTTTAGTCTCCATTAGTCTTTGTGGTATCTTACAATGTTTCTGGCACGTACTATCTCTGCATGGGACTGGACAACTGTTTTTGAGTCTAGTCTCTCATGAGCAAAAGTAATAGCTAGTCAGAAGTATAATCAATATTAAAAATACATTTATACAATCATCAAAAAAGTTAGCGTGTTTTTTCTAAATAATGATGGTATAGGTCCATGATTTAGACTTTTAAGTATTTTATATATATATATATATATATGATATCATATTAATTTACAAAATGACTACCAATATTTTAGCAAATATTGGAACTATAATGCAGCTCTACATGTGTGTGCCTGTGTGTGTGTGTATGTGTAGTGTAGTGTACACATTCTAGAAAACAAGCAGGTTATTCAGCAAACGAATATGTTTGATGACTCTCCTGGTAGTTTTGTTATTGGTCAAGACACAAATCTATAGTTTGCATGTCATATGCTATTCAGTAATCCTCATCATTCATTATTTGAATAAAAAATCATTTGTTTCCTTTATTGCAATATCCAAACCATTGAAAACTGGCACAAGACAGGGATGCCCTCTCTCATCACTCCTATTCAACATAGTGTTGGAAGTTCTGACCAGGGCAATCAGGTAGGAGAAGGAAATAAAGGGCATTCAATTAGGAAAAGGGGAAGTCAAACTGTCCCTGTTTGCAGATGACATGATTGTATATCTAGAAAACCCCATCGTCTCAGCCCAAAATCTCCTTAAGCTGATAGGCAACTTCAGCAAAGTCTCAGGATACAAAATCAATGTGCAAAAATCGCAAGCATTCTTATACACGAATAACAGACAAACAGAGAGCCAAATCATGAGTGAACTCCCATTCACAATTGCTTCAAAGAGAATAAAATACCTAGGAATCCAACTTACAAGGGACGTGAAGGACCTCTTCAAGGAGAACTACAAACCACTGCTCAATGAAATAAAAGAGGATACAAACAAATGGAAGAACACTCCACGCTCATGGGTAGGAAGAATCAATATCGTGAAAATGGCCATACTGCCCAAGGTAATTTATAGATTCAATGCCATCCCCATCAAGCTACCAATGACTTTCTTCACAGAATTGGAAAAAATTACTTTAAAGTTCATATGGAACCAAAAAAGAGCCCGCATCGCCAAGTCAATCCTAAGACAAAAGAACAAAGCTGGAGGCATCACGCTACCTGACTTCAAACTATACTACAAGGCTACAGTAACCAAAACAGCATGGTACTGCTACCAAAACAGATATATAGACCAATGGAACAGAACAGAGCCCTCAGAAATAATGCCGCATATCTACAACTATCAGATCTTTGACAAACCTGAGAAAAACAAACAATGGGGAAAGGATTCCCTATTTAATAAATGGTGCTGGGAAAACTGGCTAGCCATACGTAGAAAGCCAAAACTGGGTCCCTTCCTTACACCTTATATAAAAATTAATTCAAGATGGATTAAAGACTTACATGTTAGACCTAAAACCATAAAAACCCTAGAAGAAAACCTAGGCAATACCATTCAGGACATAGGCATGGGCAAGGACTTCATGTCTAAAACATCAAAAGCAATGGCAACAGAAGCTACAATTGGCAAATGGGATCTAATTAAACTAAAGAGCTTCTGCACAGCAAAAGAAACCACCATCAGAGTGAACAGGCAACCTAAGAGTGGGAGAAAATTTTTGCAACCTACTCATCTGACAGAGGGCTAATATCCAGAATCTACAGTGAACTCAAACAAATTTACAAGAAAAAAACAAACAACCCCATCAAAAAGTGGGTGAAGGATATGAACAGACACTTCTCAAAAGAAGACATTTATGCAGCCAAAAAACACATGAAAAAATGCTCATCATCACTGGCCATCAGAGAAATGCAAATCAAAACCACAATGAGATACCATCTCACACCAGTTAGAATGGCAATCATTAAAAAGTCAGGAAACAACAGGTGCTGGAGAGGATGTGGAGAAACAGGAACACTTTTACACTGTTGGTGGGACTGTAAACTAGTTCAACCATCGTGGAAGTCAGTGTGGCGATTCCTCAGGGATCTAGAACTAGAAGTACCATTTGACCCAGCCATCCCATTACTGGATATACCCAAAGGATTGTAAATCATGCTGCTGTAAAGACACATGCACACATATGTTTATTGCGGCACTATTCACAATAGCAAAGACTTGGAACCAACCCAAATGTCCAACAATGATAGACTGGATTAAGAAAATGTGGCACATATACACCATGGAATACTATGCAGCCATAAAAAACGATGAGTTCATGTCCTTTGTAGGGACATGGATGAAGCTGGAAACCATCATTCTCAGCAAACTATCACAAGGACAAAAAACCAAATACTGCATGTTCTCACTCATAGGTAGGAACTGAACAATGAGAACACATGGACACAGGAAGGGGAACATCACACACTGGGGACTGTTGTGGGGTGGGGGGATGGGGGAGGGATAGCACTGGGAGATATACCTAATGCTAAATGACGAGTTAATGGGTGCAGCACACCAACATGGCACATGTATACATATGTAACAAACTTGCACATTATGCACATGTACCCTAAAACTTGAAGTATAATAATAATAATAATAAAAAATAAAAATTAAAACAATGAAGAGTATACAAGGCAATTTATTTTCCTCCCAGACTAGGCTCCAAGTCCCCTGCTCAGGCAACAAACACTCACAATAGCTTCTTGTATATTCTGTCAGAATTTTTTTATGCAGTTATGATTAGAAGTGTATAATATTGTTTGTTCATTTTAATCATTAATAATTTATTTAACACTTTGAAAATGTTTTATTTTTACTGTTACTATGATAGAAAAGTTAGATTATTGCCACAGAAAATGATCCCAATGAACTCAGTCAAGTTTTGCTTTCACAAATTATTGTTGGTTGTTGTTCCAGGATACAAAATGAACATTGAGGTTTCAGGTATAGGGAAAAAGGGAGAGTAAAATTATATCAAATTAATTTTGATAGATATGTTCTTGATGCATCAACGCAAAAAAAATCAAGTCTTACTTTATGAAATTTTACTTTAGGAAAGTTGAAACCAAGGTGAACACTCCATCTTAAGAGTGAATTTTTCTATATGTAAAAAAAATTAAGAAAAATCAATCAGTCACCATATGACTCAATATTTCCCAGAAAAAAGAAGTGAGTACTACCAAAACTATTTTTGGAATTCGGCAGTTAATTCCAACAAAAAACTTTAAGTATAGATGTGGTCGTGTGTAGAAACAGTCTTCTCTGCTGGACATGAGGTAAGTTTATAATCATTTCCGCCAAGATGTTTTCTCAAATATCCATATCGCCTGTTAGAAAACACCAAATCAACATTGTAGGATAATGAGAAAAACAAGGAAATGCAGGCATGGATTCAGAGTTGAAGAGGCAAGATATTCTCCAAGTGAAATCATGGGAGGTACATGGGAAAGTTGAGAGCAATAAAGTTTTCTTTCTTCCATTGTCATGCCCAAACAAAATTAGAAAATCAGTAGCCTCTTCAGCGTTCAACTTAACGTCCAACAAGTGACAACTTCACCCTTTGATATTCTCTCTCAGCTATTCCCAATCCTCCACTATCCTGGAGAACAATCAATTGTTCTCTGTTTTAACATCTTACCTAATCCTGTCCAATTTAAGAATAATAAACTGTACCGAAAGAATGTAAGCGATTTATATGCCAGATACTTCAGATTATGTTTTAAGCTGGAAATACTTTTGAAAAGGCTGACAGACAAGTTGCTAACTTTTTCATGTTGATAGTGCTATAGTACTCATTAACGTTAAACATTTCAAGCACTGGGCCTGGCGCGGTGGCTCATGCCTGTAATCCCAGCGCTTTGGGAGGCCGAGGCAGGCGGATCACCAGGTCAGGAAATTGAGACCATGGTGGCCAACATGGTGAAACCCCGTCTCTACCAAAATACAAAAAAATTAGCCGGGCGTGGGTCGGGCGCCTGTAGTCCCAGCTGCTCAGGAGGCTGAGGTAGGAGAATCACTTGAACCAGGCAGGCGGGCATTGCAGTGAGCCGAGATCACGCCACTGCACTCCATCCTGGCAACAGAACAACACTCCGTCTCAAAAAAAAATAAATAAAAAAAATTTAAAAATAAAAATAAAAAACTCAAGAACTGAATCCACCAGTAGAAGAAAGCAGCTTTATAATGTTTCTTAAATAATAGCTGTGGTATGAATCTCTTTTAAGTTTTAACCCATTAAGCATGTCAAGAACTAGGGCTCTTGAAAATGTCATATAGAATGTATTCATATTTGGAAAGAAGAACAAACATAAGAAAATTTTTGACTTATTAAGTATTATTAATAACAATGGGAAAATATAAGTATAAATGTTAAAATATTTAGAGAAGTGGAGCAGAATGAAAATATCAAGTAAGTTTAAGACTGGGGTGCAATAAAGAAGAAAATATACTTATGTTGGTGGTTACAACTGAGGAAAGATCATGTTATGTTACATTCAGCATTGTCTTTTATTTGTCCGATGTTTCAGGATAAGCATTTCAGATCACAGAAATCAACTTTTTTACGGGATTGACTGTCAGGTTAAACAGAGTGAATGTGGACAATAGAAAGACAAAGAGTAAAATGAAGGAAGAGGAAAATTTGTTAAGCTGAGAAAGATTTTAAATTACTAAAAAAACTGGGAGCTGGATTGGCGAAAAGAGAGAGCCAAGGAAAATGAAATAACAGGATATAATGAGACAAGAAAGTGTTATAAGGAAGAGAAAGCATGACATTCTACCAAAAAAAATCATAATATAACAAAAACCCACAGGCAGATTTACAGTTTTACTCCCCAAAAATCTTAATATCTGCATAGTTTAAGCAATCAATCAATCAATATATGTCAATAACATCTAAATTGTCAAATGTCAGTAGAAGTATTGCGTTCTCATGTTTTCCTATTCTGGGCTAACAAGGTAATTGCATAAAGCTTGTGTCTGGAATAAACCGAATACATGAAAATGCATTTCAATTAGAGTCTACTTCTACTTGTACTGCAGTTACCTGATTTAAAAGAAACAATTTTAGTACATCTACTTGTCACACTCTTTCTTGTTCATTTAAATGATAGTTGATAAATTTCACTCTGAATATATTTGCTGTTTGGCATTAAAGCTATTAAACTAAAAAATCAAAAAAGTTATTTTAACATTGTGTGCCCTCACAAAACATATGGAATATGTAATTAGGACTTGTAATATACCAAGGAAATATAGCAACTAAAACAACTGTTTTTGATGGCTATATTATAGTTGATAATTTTCCTTCTAAATTATATACTTAAGAAACTGTGTTAAAGGTCAATAGTAGTAGTAACAGTTAATTTAGAAGTGACAGTTTAGGACACACGTTCAATATATAACAACTGCAATAAACATTTATTGAATCCTTTGTCCTAAAGCAGCATGGCTGTTAAATTACTTCTCATAATGGTAGGTCTTAGTTTAAATAAATAAATAAATAAAAACCCACATCTGTTCATGCTTAAACTAAAAATAATGAGTACATTGTTTAGTGATAAGGCCTCTGGAAAATAGCTCAGGAAGCTTCATTTATTTTCCTGAAACAAAACATGAAAGTAAATTGTCTCCTATATAAAGAATTTTATAAATTTAAATTTAGAGGATTAGAGAAGAGGAAGCAATTAGGTTTAATAAATAGTTCTCATGTTTTAAAAAATATTTCCAACTAGAGATATCACAATTTATTTGCCAAAGAATGGAGCAAAAGTACAGATGCACGTTTTTTACTACTAGTAACTATAAGAAATAACAAATTTTAAAATGTGAATAGGCCCATGAGAATCCTATCATTCCTGATAGACCCAGTCTGGTAGTCAGTGAACATACAGTTATGGCTAAGTTTCATGCTTAGGAAGGCATACTTAGGTTAAGTCTAGACACCTAAAATAGCCAGACTTCAGTTCAGTAATTATTTGGTCTGTGCCATAAACAAAACTTACATATTAAAAATTAGGACAAAAAAATGAAGAATAAGATCCTTAACAATATTAGGGAGTTCATAAACAAGTAAGATATTGAAAAAGAAATTTAAGAGACTCTCATAGCCTTACTGAACTTTTTTCATTTCTGGGCCATGCCAAGCTGCTTTAGATTCCAGAGTCATCAGCTCTTGCATCTGACAGAAAGACTTTTCTCTCACTTTATCAGGCAATACCTCCTCTTCTTGCTTTTAGGTTCCCATTTCAATGGCACTCCATTGGGTGTGGCTTCACTTACCCTTCAATAAGTTAGATCCTAGAAATAGATGCCGTTCTGTCCCTGTTTGCTTTTCCTGAATAGCACTCATCTCGATTTCAATACATTGTAATTATCTGTGTAATTTATTTTGTCAAGGCAAGAACCAAGGCTATGTTATATATGCTGTAAGTCCACACATGGTAGGTTCTCTAAAAAAAAAAAAATCTATATGGACTGAATAGTTTATCAGTCAGGATTTCTATAGTCCTTATTTCACTTAAACGTATGAGGTGGCATGAGCCTTTACTTTAGAAGGAAATAAGTTCTACAGAGTATTTTTTCATAGTCTCACAGTTATTAGATGGCACAACTTATATTCTAATATAAACCTCATCTCCCTCCACCATGTTGACTTAAGATACTACTGACTTGATAATTATGTAATAAATATTTTCATAAATGTTTCCTAATGTTCTGCTCAGCATTTTTTACAAATTGCTTCATTTTTTCTTTATGAGTAACATCAATTTAACTAAACTTAGAACCTCCCTACTCTTAGAAATGCAATAATGCCCTTAAGAAGCAATTTTAGTGTCTGGTTGAACTTACTTATTTACATTTATTCTATATATTTATACCAGTAAAAAACTAGTCGTGGAAGTTTTGTCTGTATGAACACCATGTAAAACATTATTTATTATACAGGCTAATTCTTGTCACCATAGCATACATTGTTATCCATCATAGTCTAATATTAGCCTTTAATGATTGCCATTGCAGAAAGGAATAATTATTAATAAGGATACTAAATGATAAGGACACTCAATTTTTATGGTGAAGTGCTGATTTGTTTCAGAAGGAAATTTTTGGATTTAGCGTTTTCAATTGCAATCCAACATTCCTTTGGGGGGGAAATGATGACGTTTTCAAACATGTAAAAATTTTCACATTTACATTATATTGATGCTAAGAAAACTAGTAATCCTAACTTTAACTGCAAATATAATAGATCTCCTAACCAGAATAATAAAACAATTGTACTAAAATGGGTGAAAATTATCAGCATTCCAGAGCATGAAGTGAAAATTACTTGAGGAAGTGAAAATTACTTGAGAATCTGAAATTAAAATACCTTGAACTGTTATTGTGGAAAACATGCCTTGACAATACATAATATATTGCACAGATCAACTAATTTTTTCAGCATTATTCTTAAGTATGAGCCAATGGTCATCAACTGTAAGCTATGAGACATGTCACAATTAAGAACTTCATTTGCAAATATAGAGAAAACCCCTTAGCAATAACCTCAATTATTCCATAGAGGTTTTGTTTGGTTTTTTAAATTTTTTTTGAATAGGCAATTCCAGCACAATTCCAGTTCAGAGAAGGACTGAAGAAGGACAGTCAGGGAAGGCTTCCCACAGGAAGCCTTGACCGGAGAAGGGTCAAGGGCCCCCCAGTGAGAGTCCCTTGCCTCTCCAAGAACTTGCCTCTCTGACAAGCTACATTTTTTTCCGTAGAGCATTACAAACTAAAAGAATCTGTGACTGATCACACCATATTCATATAAGAAGGAAGAAAGACACAAAAATACAAAGTGACATTTAGGGAGATCTATCTTGTGCTCACTCACAAAGCTTCCTTACTGTTTTTGTCCCCAGCTCTCCAAATTCAATATCTTTCCTAGCCTAGATGAAATAGTTACTTGAGTGCAGTTAATGCCCATTCTATATTTAAAAGCTCCAGGCTATGATTTTACTAACTTTTTGTACAACCAGAAGAAAATAAAAAAGATATTTGCTCTTGAAACAGTAGAGAAATGTAGAATAACTGTTGAAATAATAATTTGAAGAAAACTAAATAGAACTATAAAAGTTGGAGGCAGCATACAGGAATGAAAGGCATTCATCCACACACCATGTTGAGTTATTTTCTCAAGCTTGGAAAAGAAAACAGCAATAAGCATGGAAAATGCAGCAAATCGGGTATTCTAACCTATTTGCCAAGGCTTTCAAGGGAACAACACAGAGGGAGTGTTTAAAACACAGCAACCAAGCCACATACGGCCAGATCTCAGCAACGTACCTTTTAAGAGGGCAAAAAATAAAGAGGAAAAAAATATTGAGTGGGAAAAGTAAATACTCAAAAGACTGCTTTTACCTACATATCTACAAATATCATCGAAGTGGAGTCAAATGCTTGGCATTTCTGTTCATACTTGACTCCACTCCAATGTAGTACATTAAGAGAATGCAGAACAACAGGCACGGTGGTGATTGTGTATAATGGCAGGGCATTTGTGGCAGCCAAGCCTAGTTGTTGAGTGCTCTGGGCCATTCACTTAGCGTATAGAGATGCAGTCTGTGAAAATGACTGTGAGGCTCATCAGCTTAAAAAGAACACACAGAATTTAGACAGAGTTCAGGGTAGAATGACAACAATAATGGAGACCTCTAAGGAAACATTAAATAGAGTCATTAGCCTGAAGAAATCTGAGAAGCTGAATATTTATTGATCTTTAAACAAATTATGGCTTACCCCTCAAAGGAAAGTAGTGCATACTTTTTATTCCACTGGGCATCACAAAAAGGAAATGAATTTAAATTGCACTGTGAGATATTTAAGTCAGACATAAAGAGATATTTCCAGGTAGCGAGAGAGTGTGGTTTAAAAAATTAACTTTCTCCGGAGGTCATTAAATATATGCCATCTTAATTGGGTTAAGCCTAATGTCTCTAATTTTCTATCACGTGTTTTCTTCACTGCTGTTATGTTACTATCCCTGTTATTTTGGCATTATAACAGATTATATTTTTATTAGGATGGGACATATTTCTTTGACTGGCTTTCACTCTCTCCTTTTAAAATGTGTATAACATACAAGGAATACAACCAAAATGACTTGTGCCAGCCCAATGTATTTTTCTTTGTTCTTTTGTGTAAAGATATTTTAGAGAATATGCTTACTCCACGTTGATTTTTCACTTTTAGAAAAGGTTAGGACAGTTTGTTTGCTCCTAGAAAGACTAAAATCTGGGAGAAAATACAACAATATCCCAAATACTCATTAAACCAGTTTTATATACAGTTTAAAAGCATTCCTCAAGCCCCTGAAGTGAGTGGGATTTGCTCATTGTGCTGTGCTCTCTTCCAAGATGGGAGTGACTATTCCCAGTAAGCTAAATCATCAAGCTATCTGGGAAGAGTTGAAGGGGAAAAAAATAAGTAATAATTTTTATATTTAAGAAAGTTAAGCTCCATTTGCCCAAACTTTGTCCTACTCACATTAGTACTGGGTGCAATCTGATCATTCAGAGAGGAAACAGAAAATCTTAGACTATTGAAACAACCCAGTGATATCTGTCCCCCAAGTACTTACTCTGACATTCTAAATCAATTTCTCCCCTTTATTTAATTAATCCTCATGTAAGTTTCTAGAAGGAAAAATTAAAATATAAAATGAGAGTCAAATTATTGGTCCCACTTGATTTAAATCTTCAGAACTGACACATTTGTCAAGTAGGCAGTTGTAAAAAAGATTAGTTTCTGAAATTATAAACAAATACCTACAGACGAACTCTCCAATATGATAGCCAGTAGCCACATGTGGCCTTTTAAGTATAAAATAATTAAAATTAAAAATCTAGTTACTTAGTCTACTAGCCACATTTTAAGCATTCAATTGTCACATGGGGCTAGTGGCTACCAAATTGGATAGCACAGATATAGGACATTTTATCATCACTTGAATTTCTATTGGACTGTGCTGACCTAGATAATTTATGACATATGAAATTTTAGTGATTTTTCCTTATTTAATTCATCATATTATAATCTAACTCTCTGTAATTTGGATCATAGTTTATCAAAATATTGTACCCAGATTAGACAATGTTAAATGAATTGAATCTACATTAACTAAGTTCTCCTCTGCTCTCTGTCACTGGTTGAGTGAACTTGAGCAAGTAACTTAATAAATTAGTTCACTCATTTATTCAAGAAGTATTTCCTGAGCATCAACTATGTTCAAGGTATTGTACTGAGCAGTGGATAGATAGCAATGATCTAAACAATGACCCTGAACCTGAACTTACATCTTAATAAGAAAAGAAAATTGCATGCAAAACAGTATGTAACATAATATCACAAAGTATTAATTACTCCAACAAAAAAATATGCAGGGCAAGGAGTAGAGATATCCTCTCTGTAAAAGTGACATTTGGCAGAGAAGCCATGTTTATATTCCTACCAGACACTCTTTATATATAAACTCACATTCCTATCCCTATCATACCTATGTACCAGTTACAGAATCTCTCAGCCTCACCTGTCTGGTCTTTCAAATACCTGTTCCTCCCCAGCTTCTGCTACATAAAGTAACTGCACATGGGCTCTGACTAACTTTACTCAGACACATCACCCAAGAACTACTCATGTATCTCTTGCATCCTGCTTCAGGCAGTGGCTTCCCTATTGATGCTGAGGCATGAGACATTCTGCCTGAATTCCTTAACATCCATTCACTTACAATCTGGAAACACAGAGGAGTCAATGCCTCAAGGAGAATACTTTAACCAATGAAGAGGGGAGCTGAAGGATAAATTCTTCTCACTTCATTCTTCCAGAAGTAAATCCTGAGACACACTCTTTCATGACCTTGGAAGATGGGTCCATAAAATGGAGACATTAGCTGCACTGGATGTCAAGCAGTAGCCAGCTCTATAGCCCAGCCTTTGTTTTATTTTTTTCTCTTTATTCTCTCCCTCAGTCTGTCTTTTCTTCCTTCCCCCCTTTTCTCATTTCTGCTTCCCTAGAATTGCATTCCCTAATTACATCACAAGGTGTAAAATTTTGCTTTGTGAGAAGCCCACGAAAAATTACTGGGAAAAGAGCCTTCTAAACAAAGGAAATAAAAAATTCCAAGTCCTTAAGCTAGGAGCATGCTTGGATTGTTGAGATATGACTACATTTTTCAGTCTTGGTTTTCATGTCTATAATGGTTGATCAATGTATCACTATTTTTAAATACCTGTGGCTTTTACATGTAATATTTGCACATATGTATGATGCATATATTTATAAGATTATATTGTCCATTCTTTTTCATTTTTTCCAAATTTCTTCTGTTTTTACAATTTTTGCAATCTTATATGAAGGCAACTTATGGAGTCTTTTACACATAATGATTGTTTATTAAGTTGAATAACTGGCCTACTGTATTTGTGCAATTACCTTTGAAATTAGAAAGAGGTTTTTTTTTTCTTTTTTCATTGACTTAATAGGTCAGTGTTTTCTCAAATCTTCATAAATACCTGCATTTCCCAGAATCCTATTTTTAAAAAGTTCCCCATTGCAATAAATCATTTCAGTTGGTCTGGGAGTAAACCTCCTAATTTGTATTTTTATCCAGCACCCCGGATAATTATGAGAAGGTCCTCTGATGACTACACCTTTGAGAAACATCATATTATGTAGTATTCACAAATGCTGATGAGCCTACATGAAATTTTGGCATTCTAGTGATTTAGAAAACTTGGTTGTAAGCAAGCTCTTTCCATAAAGGGTTTACACTTATGTGACACAGACTGGTATAACATAAAGAGCTATAAATTGACCATTTAAAACATTATTTATTGATGAAAACAATTCACACGATTCATAGAAAAGCAAACTTCAACTGATGTGTCAAGGGTGAAAACATTTTCACAATTAATTGCATAGAGCTACCTCTACTAAAGTTATCCTGGGTATATTATTCAACAGTTTTTCATCATGGTAAATGATAAATCCATTAAAACAATTATTTTAGAAGATAGATGATGGCAGAACAAAAACAGTTGAACCATTATTCTAGTAAAGTTTGGCATTCACTCTGCTCATGAGATGCAAATTTTCTTCTGTGAAAATGAAGCACTAAATATTAGCAGAGGGTGTGATGTCTGAAAAATTATTGCTGAAATCTGTAATTATCATTAAATATTCAGGATACATGGGGGTATTCTGAGGAATATATTACCACATCACTTTCTTGTCCAAAATCCTTCAAAGATTCTTTTCAAGTTGCCTGCAAAATTAAGTTGATTCTCCTTGGCTTTTTATTTTAAGCATTCTGTGATCTGGCACTGATTCACTCTTTCGATTTTATCTCTTAACATCTAGTAGCACTGCTCATGCACTTTTCTGCTTGTTTCCAATAGAGTTCCCCACAGGATGTCCCTAAGAACACTAATTTCAGGACACTAATAGGTGTTATATTTTAATAAAAAAAGTCTCCAAGGTCAAATGCATTTGGGAAATGATATGATAAGCAAAGTTAATCATGTCTCTTTTCTATAGTTCTCAGAAGCTTTAGGATGCTAGTGTGAATTAAAAATAGCCAGAGAGTGGATATAGAGTGAACTATTTCCCAAATGAATTTTACGTAAAGCACCTTTTTTTAATGGAGTATCTGTTGAGTACTGTTCTGAAGGACACAGTTTAGGAAACATTTGTGATGGTGGAATGAACACGAGATTTGGAATCTGATGTCCTTGGAGTCAAATCTCAGCCTCAGCATTCACCAATGATTCGACCTGGGACAGGTTAATCTTCCGATTTTTGTTCCTTCCCAGTAAAATGAGAAGAGATGTTTAACTTAGAAGGCCATTGTAATAATTTAATAAGGAAACACAGACATCTAATATGGATCTTGCCATATGTTATATGGTCAGTAAATAATAGTCCTCTTCCTTTTCCTTGGCTTCCACCCAACTAAACTCTTCACAGTTTCCTTGACTAAATGAAGCTCTTAACTTTTGGCAGTTATAGAACTCAGAGAATCTGTTATTTCCATTGTCCCAATCCTTTAAGAAAATGAATTAATGCATGTAAACATTTTTTAGTGTAATCTTCGCCCTCTCTTCCTGACTGTTATAATCCCCCCATCCTCCATCCTTCAAATTCACCTTCTCTGTAAGCCTTCCTTTGATCTTCACAATTAAAACTGCTATCTCCTCTAACTGTATTTCCAATGGAAATTTTTCTTGCAGCATTATTTTGTATATCCCTATTCATCTACTGTATTATAAATTATTTGTGCTTAATTTTTATCAATTATTCTCTGACTTGCATTAAAGTATTTTACTTGAAATAAATGATAATGTTTTATTTTTTAGGAAGACCACAAGCAGCAACACTGTTCTTAATGACATAGCAATAAGGTTTAAGAGTAATCATTGACATCAGCAAGCTACCTGTTGATCCTTGATCCATGTTTCTTAATTAATTTTTTCATTATTTATTCATTATCTGTTTTTAGAGACAGAATCTTGCTCTATCACCCATGCTGGAGCGCAGTGGCACAATCATAGCTCACAGCAACCTAAAACTCCTGGGCTCAGGCCATCCTCCCTCCTCAGCCTCCTGAGTCCTGAGTAGCTGGGACTACAGATACATGCCACCATGCCTGGCTAATATTTTTATTTTATTTTATTTTATTTTATTTTATTTTATTTTATTTTATTTTATTTTATTTTATTTTATAGAGATAAAGTTTCACTATATTGCTCAGACTGGTCTCAAGCTCCTGGCCTCAAGTGAACCTCTGCCTTGGGCTTCCAAAATGTTGGGACAGGCATATGCTACTGTGCCTAGCCTGAATTTTTGACTGTCTATTGCTTTGTGTTTGTTGGATGATGAAAAAGCTTGAGTAATTCATGCCTTTTTTGTTATATTTTCATCATTGTTGGCCTAACATTCTTGTCCAAAATATTGGTATTTTTTTCTCTTGAGGTTCTCAGGAAATATCTAGGTCTGTACTTTTCTGTTTCTAACATAAAGTGTATTTGGCTGCATTCAAAGGCTGCAAATTAATTCATAAAATTAAAATTTTTGTTCCAATTTGCTGCTTAAATCTCCATGTTGAGAAAATGCAGAACAGATTGGATAAAAATGCGGATTTGTATTCAAACACTCTTGGGTTAAAATGTTGGATTCATCACTTATTTACGCATAGCAACTTGAAGTTTGGAAAGTTTAAGCATACTCCTCAATTTTGTTATCTCTAGAAGGGGATTAACACCACTTCCTAGTGTTACTGTGAAGAGTTAATGAAATAATATACATTCATATGCTGTTCAATGAGAAATGAACATATTTTAGATGTTATTATTCTGTATAAATATAGTTTTGTTATTTTAACATTTACAAAAACTTATATTATTAAAAAAGTTTAATTTGAGTACTCGAAGATATGGTGCTATTTTCCTATTCTTTACTTGTTTTAATATTATTCAGGAAATAGGAAAGTTAATAGTTCCTTATATGGGCTGAAAATGAAGTGGTGGGGATTCCAGGCTGTTCCTCAGTGCTTATTCCTAGATATCAGCCCCCAGACTCTGTAACAATCTTCTCACTAAGTACTAATTATGTACTAAAATCATTTCTCTCGAACTAATTTTTATTTTTTTATTTTTCTCTTATGGTTTAATAGAAAGTTACAATTACCTCAGATTTACCATAAAGACAGCGCCAGAGCCAAAGTTTACTTCACTGTTACAGTATCAGGACTACAGGAATGCTGCACTAATTTCGTGTTAACCCCCAACTTGCTTTAGAAGCAGTTGCTTGTAGGCTCTGATATATCCATTCTTGATATTGAGTCCCTCTTGTTCTCCAAATCACACACACACAAAAAAAAGTCATACCTCTTGCTAATGACATCTAAATTTCTGGTTTCAGTAGGGGCTTCAATCAGAAAAGAAATAGTCAAGGAAGAAAGACAGGCAGAATCTTTGAATATTTCAGAGGAAGATGAGGGAATTGCCATATAATCAAAGACTAAAAAGATCTATTTCATTAATATTAGAAGGAAAATTTTTATTCCGAGAGAGTTAACAGTGAAGATAATCAATTTGGGGCTGTGTTTCTATTTCCGCTTTCCTCTTATCATGGTATAATATAGTTTTATTTTATAGAAAACAGAAGTCAAATTTCTTTAAAATATCAAATGAAGTCAAAAATAAAATGAAATAATGATAATGACTTGGCTTAGAATGTATATTTTAAACGAATACAAGCACACTCATTTTTATCTGATATTTAAGTTTCCTTGGTATCTAAGGAAAGAAAACTTATTATCTCCCTGGAAATAATGTTCCCAAAAGGAGAGTGAAGTGTTCTATTTATCAAGTCGCTGTTCTTTCCTGTTGCATGAGAATTACCAGCAGATCACTGTTCCACACCTGATGCCTGCAATAATTTTAAGCTGCCTTCTCTTGTGGCACAGTTTCCCTAAGTTGGGTATGCTCTTTTTTATTACAATCCCCAACTGTTTCATTTTAGATCAATTGCTTCTTCCCAGGTTATACTAATTCTCATCTCTTCAGAAAACAAGTGTACGTGTTTTTGCAGGTGTCATATCATTTATGACAAAAGAAAAGAGCAACCACATAGAAATCTCTAAAGATAGAGAGATTGGAAATGTGCTCTGAAGTGGAAAACCGAAGAGGGAATAAAAATAATAGCATCTCCAGAGGAAGTGACCTTGCTTGATTGGATTTGTATCAGTGCTTCCTCTGAACTAACCCCCACGCTGCCTCTAAGCATATTTTGCACCTGCACTCCTCCTGCTGGTACTGTTGTTGTCTCCCCAGCTTTAGCTGTTATCCAGCTGGATTACATCGAGTCTGCAGCTATTTGATAAAGCCTTACTTGTTTAGGAGTTATGTCCAATAACTTTTTTTCTCTGAATAAGTTTATTATCTATTCAGCTGTAGCTACTTTCCCAGGATAGCATTCCTTCTTTTCTAGTGCAAGCTCCTTCCTTACCTTCTGCTCAACCTCGTGGTTCCAGCTGCACCTGGTCTCTTCTTACAAATCCCACTGTCACTTGGCCAACATTGAGGAACCAGGTGTAAACACCTGACCAACACCAAGCCCACTGTATTATTACACTACCTTGCCTGACCAATGTGTGCCCTTCTTGGTGTTTTGTTTTTTGGTGTGTTTATTTTGTTTTGTTTTTAACTTGGAACAAGAACGAAGATGATTCTTAGTGCATCTGTCATAGAAAATCTAAGAAATGTGAACTTGAAACTCTAGTAGCTGTGCTGAAGTGACCAATCTCAGAGAATAAAATTAACATGTAGAGAGAAATGTGAAGGGACAGATGGATAGCAAGAGAGAAAAATTGAGGTTTTTTTAGTGGAGTGCTTATAGTGCTGGTTTTAATAATCTATAAGACCCCACTATACCCTTGCACCTTTGTGGCATATTATATTAGCTAATGATATTTTATTTGGTCTAAGTTGTTCAAAATAGAATTTTGTAATAGAAATTTAAAAACAGCAATAATATGCCAATATTATTATTTAAAGACACAGTATACCATCATTTTAATAGACTTTACAGAAGGAGGAATTTCAAATTCCATGAGAGTAGTGACTATATTTTCTGTTTTTTGCATCCTTTTTGGAACTACCACAGTGAAAGGAACTCAATAAACTCAGCTTGTTGATGACCTCAGAAAGCAGAGTGCTAAAATTGCTTGTGGCCTTTGCAGTTGTGTCTTGCCACTTTAATCAAATTCTGGCATTCGTAGTAACAAGCAGCTAAGGGTGGAAACATCATAGTTGACCTTGTTCTCATTAAAAGCATTGTATTTGGTGTTTGGATAAAGCATAGAATTTACATACAGTGATCATAAAGACTGATTTTCTTATCTTTCAGATAAGAAAACTGAGATCCAGGAAGATTAAGTAATTTGCTGACATGCATCCAGATATAGTAAGAATAAGGATTAAAAATCTGGTTCGCCCAAACTTGGATTTCTCTGAATCACATCTTTAAACCACTTTTTTAAAATTATACTTTAAGTTTTAGGGTACATGTACACAACGCACAGGTTTGTTACATATGTATACATGTGCCATGTTGGTGTGCTGCACCCATCAACTCGTCATTTAACATTACGTTTATCTCCTAATGCTATCCCTCCCCCCTCCCCCCACCCCACAACAGGCCCCAGTGTGTGATATTCCCCTTCCTGTGTCCATGTGTTCTTATTGTTCAATTCCCACCTATGAGTGAGAACATGCGATGTTTGGTTTTTTGTCCTTGCGATAGTTTGCTGAGAATGATGGTTTCCAGCTTCATCCATGTCCCTACAAAGGACATGAACTCATCCTTTTTTATGGCTGCATAGTATTCCATGGTGTATATGTGCCACATATATACACCATCCAGTCTTTCTTATATATATATTGCCATCAAGGAAACAAATGAAAAGAACTCATTTTTTATGTGCAAATTAGAATATCAAGCAGCCAATTTTATGTATACTTCATATATCCTAAAATGCCATAGCAAGGAGCATTTGAACTGTAAAAGGCCAGGTGTGCACAGATAGGCTCTTTACCCTAATAGGAGTAATCAATATGACTTAGTACTCTGACTTGATTGAAGCAAATTTGGTTATATGATTCCATTCCAAATAAATCACAATAGGTAAAAGCTAATAAAATAGATTTGGGTCTTTCATCATTTTTATTTTTCTAAGACTGTTACTATTATTAATGCTTCCTAAGTTTCATTTTATATCCCATTTTCTATTCTATTCTCTGAGTGAGAAGGTAAAGCTTTCTATTTCCCTTTTACTGTTTCCATATTGATTATTTTATTATTTAAAAAATAAGATTGATAGACAATATACAAGGTATACTGCTATGTAGACATCAAAGATATTTTTGTATAAGAAATTTTTTTAAAATACAGAAGTTCACTATCTTATCTGATTTATGGCAATATATTTATTTAACCTACCTAAATATATTTCAGCAATGAAGATATTTATCTAAAAAACCCGTATTCTTACAAATTTCCAGTAGTTCATTTTAACTATTAAAAGTGGTTTAGATCCCTGAGGAATCACCACACTGACTTTCACAATGGTTGAACTAGTTTACAGTCCCACCAACAGTGTAAAAGTGTTCCTATTTCTCCACATCCTCTCCAGCACCTGTTGTTTCCTGACTGTTTAATAATCGCCATTCTAACTGGTGTGAGATGGTATCTCATTGTGGTTTTGATTTGCATTTCTCTGATGGACAGTGATGATGAGCATTTTTTTTTCATGTGTCTTTTGGCTGCATAAACGTCTTCTTTTAAATACCATTTGACCCAGCCATCCCATTACTGGATATATACCCAAAGGATTATAAATCATGCTGCTATAAAGACACATGCACACATAGGTTTATTGCGGCACTATTCACAATAGCAAAGACTCGGAACCAACCCAAATGTCCAACAATGATAGACTGGATTAAGAAAGTCTATCCAGTCTTTCTTAATCCAGTGTTGTTATCTGAGATCAGAAATAAAATAGTAGGATTTGGGAGCAATTTTGATCTGAGTTCTTTTTCCTCAAATAGGAAATAAGAAGTTGGAAAGGAGTAGAAATTGAAAATTTCATTGTCAGGTTAAAAATAAGAAAGTCAAAAAAAACCCTCAAACTGCTACGTAGATAATTGTCTGTTCTATTAAGTATTTCACCATTGGGAGGTCAATTACCCTTGGCTGTGTTTCCTCACAGGTGATTTTCAGATTTATCCAGGAATTTTTCTTTATCTGAATTTCATTTTTCCTCACAATATCCTAGTCTAACCTACTTAATATTTGTGGATTCTTAATAATTGCTTGTTATTTATTTGAAATTGAGGTTGAAACCATGTTCGAAACTCTATGTTGACTTACCTATAGATATGCACCTTGTCACTCCCATGGTCATCACTAGTGCTCTTGAAAGTAGGCTTGGAATTTTATATCTTATAATTTTAAGATTTCAAGGAAATATATATGTACAGAAGAGCCATTGTGAATAGAACCAACAATGATGGATAATGAGAGTGGTTGGAATGACGTTGAAGATGTTAGACTAGAGAAGTACAAGGTCATGTAAGATATCATGAGTTTCATAAGTCAGGGTAAGAGATTTGAATGTATTTGAATTAAAATAGAATATCAATAAAAAAGGCTTAGAGTTGCACATAGATTATTCTATGGATTTTGAAGGGGGAAAGAGTAGGTACAGGGAAACCAGTTAGAAGCACTGCAACTATACAGCACAGGAGAGAGAGATGACCATGGCTTGGGTGTGGGTGATAATAGAGGTAATCAGAGGTTTGCTTGGGAAGTGAATCAATAGGACTTGGTAATGGAATGGATGACTTAATCATGAGAAAAAGGGAAATTTGTAAACTTTGGCCTGATGGACAAGACATCATATTTTAATTAATTTTGTTAACCATGACAGAGAAGATTTGATTGGGAGCAGTTTTGGAGTAGAATTCTGTTCCAGTAATATAAAGTTTGAAATGTCTATTAAAATTCCATTTTGAAATGTCAAATAGGTTGTTGAATAATGTTAGATTTCAGAGAGAAAAGATCAGGGCTGAAGGCATCAAGTGATATCTGAATATTTAAAAACATGAGATTGATAGGTTTACCTAAAAATATTGTGTATAGAGAGGTCCTTAGGCTCCCTAATATTTTAAAGATGAACAGAAAAGAGTATTTGAGTAAAGGAAACAGAAGAATTGGTCAGAAAGATAGAAGAAAAAGCAGGTGTATTGCAGATAATCAAGGTTTATTTCCTTTTCTCTTTAAATAATTGCTTTACAATAATTTGCATTCGTGTACCTTGTAGTAATCTCAAAGTAATGTTACAAATCATTTCTTTGTATAATTTTGTAAATTTCTTTATATTGTTATAAGACATCTAAATAATAATAATATAGTATTAGCCTTTTTACTTTTGAGCTTTGCTTTTAAGTTATTTTACGGCAGTTCTCTTAGGGTAGAAAGTACCACTACCAGTTATATAGGAGATATATATTTAGGAAACAATCTATAAACATGATTAATAACTAGAAATATTTATCCAATAAAATTCCACGCAACTTTTCATAATCATACACTTACATGAAGTTTTTTGTCAGCATAAAAATATAATGTGTATTTGGGGTCAGTAGATTGAAATTTCTTCTTTGGTACTTCAAGCATTGTAAATTTGCTGAACCTCACTTGCCCACAACATAAATTTTAGCAAATTATCATCATGACCACATAGTGTTTGGTATATATTTATTAAGGTAAGATTGAAAAATGCTTGGTAAGTGATGACGTTATAAATACATGACCTGTCTTTATAGGAAAGTCTCCACAAAATGCAGTATTTGTATATATTCTAGTGACAGTAGAACTATAGCTACTTAATTAGTAATTGAATTCCAACTTTTGGCAATTAAAATCAAAAAAGCTTAACAACTTACATTTGGAGTTGATTAGAAATTTTCAGCTTCTTTGTTAAATATTAATTTTTTGCTGGCTGAAAGACATCATGAATTTATGTTCAAGAACGTTGGATTTTTTGTATTCTTTTAAGTGATTAACTTTTTCTGTCGGATTAAGTTACTTACAGATTACTATGATCTTGTGAACCTTTCTTTCAAAAAATTTTTAAGGCAGGTCCAGTGTAGCTTTTATTCTAGTGCTGAGTAAGCTCCTCATCTAAGTTGTGGCCCAGCCTGGATGTCTACTGAATGCCCCTGTATTTAATAAGGTGGGAAGTAAAAAAAAAAATCCCAGCCCTGTGTGAGCTCTGAGAATTGTCTATCTTACAGCTCCACAGTAAATTTCTTTCCTTAGAAGTGGTGCTTGTCTGGCCTTATGGGATTTCATCCCATACATATGCAAACTGTTATTCTGCCAAAGACTCAGGGAAACCTCTGCAGATTTCTGTAGCTCTCATGGTCTCTCTAGCTCTCTCTCTGCATTTTCTTCTCCGTAGGTATTCTACTGGGCAAATTCCAGCTGCCTTGACCTCTACAGACTGCAATCTCTGTTTTCTCAAGAAGTTTAAATACCGCCACATTCAAAAATGGAATTTCATTTATATTGATTAATGAAGAGATTGGCATAACAAATAATTGAATTATAAACATGGCTTATTTTGGTATCAATATTTAAAAATATAAATAATTTATGGCATTAATTTCAAAATAACAGCTACATAAAATATATATATATATATATATAATTTTTTTTTTTTTTTTTTTTTTGAGACAGAGTCTCGCTCTGTTGCCCAGGCTGGAGTGCAGTGGCGCGATCTCGGCTCACTGCAAGCTCCGCCTCCCGGGTTCACGCCATTCTCCTGCCTCAGCCTCCCGCGTAGCTGGGACTACAGGCGCCCGCCACCACGCCCGGCTAATTTTTTGTGTTTTTTAGTAGAGACGGGGTTTCACTGTGTTAGCCAGAATGGTCTCGATCTCCTGACCTCGTGATCCGCCCGCCTCGGCCTCCCAAAGTGCTGGGATTACAGGCGTGAGCCACCGCGCCCGGCCAAAATATATTTTTAAATGTTGGAGATAAACAGCTCAAAAGACACTGAAATAATTTTAGGCAAGTTGCCCTAAAAACAGAACAGGAAAGGATTTTTTCAGGAAAAATGTTGACCTAATTGCATTAAAGAAATTATACTTGTATCTTACCTAATGTAATTTATAAAATAAGTGAAAGTAAAAATCATTAGGGATAAATAGTTAAATAAGACATTTCTAAGTTGATAAGTCATACTTCACTCTTTTCTGTACAGAAATGCAAAATTATTTTGGAATTAAAATGTAGTTTTAGAGCTCTGATAGTCATTACAACTAATCTATGTACATATTTCTAGATTCAGGCTTTATCATTTATCACCTAAATGTAGGGTATTTTGTTCTCGTTCTATTTGAATTTCCTAGAGTTTCTATATAATTATATGGTACTAAATTATTTTATTAATTTATTGTCTTATTATTAAGACATTATTGTATTAATTCAGCAAAAATGTCATTGAGTATCTGTTATATTCCAGGCAAAGTAATAAACAATAAGAATATGATGGAGGCCCACAATTCAAGAGTTTGCAGTCTAGATTAAGACTCAGAAAGGTACGTGGGTAATTGTATTGAGCATCTTACTCCCAGTATAAAGTGAAGAGAGCAGCTAGGTTGGCTTTGGGTAGGGGACTAGATAATCTTCTTCTTAGACGTGACATTTAAGTGAGATTTTGAAGCATGAATACGAGATACATTAGACAGATAGATATAGACACACACACACACACACACACACACACACACACACACACACAAGAATGCTTGCTGGACACCTGTTAGTAAAGTGGTAATACAAATACATAAGAATTCTTTAGAATTAATTGCTTCACTTTAAGCATCTCAGACTGAAATCTATTTGGTAAGTAGTATGTTTTCTGCGTGCTCAAACATTTTCATAGTTACAATACAGAATGGGTGGTATTTATGAAGGTTAGAACAAAAAATAAATGTATTTTTACCAAAATATTTAAGTGAATGACAAGTTTAGAAAGAGCCTCCAGAATTAATAATTCTAATTAAGGGTATAATTTAAGTTTGTGTTTTGTTGACTACACTAAAAGAAATGTAGAATTGTATCAAAAACTATTAATAAATGATTACAAACTATAAAGAACTGAAGACACCAAGGTAATGAAGTAAAAAGAATAACAAAAACCAATTGACACAAGACATTTTCAAGTATTTCATATTTTTTTGAGAAGCTTTCCTTCTGGTATTTACAGGTACCCATGAGCTTTTAGCTCACAGCATGTAAACATTTTAATGTCTTTATTTGCAAAACACAATACACTGCATTGTCTAAAGCGTTCTTAAACCTTGGCATGTATGAATAGCTTTATTCTGCTCTCATGCAATGGATAAATTGTGGTTTATATAATTAACATAACTAGAGTGTCAAATTCAATGAATATAACTGTGTATTGGGGAAAAATCGACAACAAAAGGACCAAGTCCACTGAGGACTATTATGAGGTAACAAAAAACAGATTGGATTGGCACTAGGATTCTCATCTTGACATGGTCACTGGCCAGGCATGTGACTCACGTCTGTCACCTCACCTCCCTGGACATGTAGTGCCTCATCTGAAAACCAAGAGAGTAGGGCTATATAAGCCCTATGTTTCTTTTGGGTTCTAAAATTCTATGATGTAATAATTTTTATTATCTGATTAGCGAATATATGATGATTGCTCAAAAAACTACCATCAGATGACACTGAACACTTTTTAAATATCTAATTAATGCCCTAAATATCTGAAGTTATATTGAGAAATACTCTCATATTGTAAAGATATAAAATAGATTTTTAGCAAATGAGAACCTAGGAGAATCTAAGTTATATCACACCTAACACAGGAGGCATTCTGTTACTTAATTACAGTGATTTACCCATCAAGGTAGGCAATAGCAAGAAAGAAGTTTATAAATAACTGCTGATAAATATAATCATAAATTTAACAGTATATAATATTTTATTTCCTCCTCCTAAAGGAAATAGGTAATAACTGAGAATTAGTTCAAGCTTAATTCCGAAATACTTTATTAAAGTGTCCTTCTTATTACTGATGCCAGGTTTTAGCAAATTAAGTATTTTCTTGAAAGAGCAAATGCAAATAAAAAGGGAGGGAGATGGCCTTAAACTAAAAAAGAATCTCATTAATAGCTTCCTAAAAAAAAAAGAAATACAACAAAGGCCTAGATACTGAATCTGCAGCTGCAGTTAACACTTCATCATTGAGCTATCTATGATGGACAATACTAGTACTGTACAGATTCAGGCTAAATTAATGCTGTTAGTTTTTGTTTCTAAAGACAAAAAAAAAGTGTATGAAACAACTTCAGTTCTCACTAAGCTGGATCTGAGATCCCATCTGTTCAGATTTCATGCTTTTAGAAGAAAAAAGAAATCAACCTTAAAAACAAATCTCCTTCATTCTAATATTATTAAAAGATTCAGCTGGAAAACCAGATAAAATCCTTGGAATTTTATTAAACTTGTGCATCTCTAAATGATGAAGGCACCATCATTTTTGCAATACCCAGGGAAGCTTGCACTACTAAGAAGGGCTATGAATGAAGCAGTGAGCTAGACCTATGTAGAGTGATGTCACTCTTTTTCCTGGCACAACCTCAGTAGTGAACTACACAATTTAAGTGTTGTAGCTAACAATTCTGATTAAGTCCTCTATTTTACTAAAGGCAGAGAGATTATCTGTCAAACTAAAAAGCAGAAACATCACATCAATGTTTTCCTTTTAATTTTTAAATGACATTAAAAAGGATAAATAAATGTCCATCAAAAAAATCTACTACTTCTTCTTTCTTAGCAAGAAAAGAAATCTGACATAAACACACAGTGCTATTGTCTAATGAAACACTTACTAGAGAATAACTAATTGGCTTAAAATAATTTAATTATAGGCTTGATTAAATTTTTTCAGTCTCTGTTGTAGCAGCTTCCTGGGTGCAATAAATATTGCATTTCTTTACAGTTTATGATGTTTGTAAATAATCTGCTCCATGATTTAAAACACAGTGAAGGAAACATTGTTTAATTTTAGGAAGAACTTTAGGTTTTATGCTTTCTCAGAATTAAGATTTATATTATCATTATTGATTATGATAATTTTACACGTTCCAGTAAGCCTTCAAAATGGAAAATATATTGATGTCTTTATACTTTATTAAATAAAATTAATTTTATGATATTCTTTTTGTATTAATCTGGGTGTAAGTGCTTATTATCTTAATATTCCAACATCATGACTTAGATATATTTTCCTCCACAAATAAAAATATAGAAAGGAGACTAACAACGTAAAAGCCTCATATTGTTTGGATACAAAGAATTTAGTAAAGGAGAAATCAGAAAACATTTGTAATGGATTAAAACAACTTATACAGACAGATTTTTAAAAATGTTCTCAGTACAATCACTCTTCCATACATTATGCTAGTACACAGAAAAATTATAACATTCTGTGATATGAGTGAAATAAGAAAATTCCCCTGTTAAGGTGTTTCTAAATTCTTAGTTCTCATCCTATAATATTTTCTTGATAGCAGCTAAAATTTACTGAGCGCTTACTATATGCCAGACACTAAGTGAAGTTCTTCAGTGTTGTCTATTATATTTTATTCAGTGTATTTCTCTTGACAATCCTTTTACTTCCGCATTTTATTTTACATATGAGAAATCAAAAACACAGGGATATAAAGTAGCGTGCTCAAATTCTTACAGCCACTAAGTGGTGGAACTGGGATTCAAACAAAGGCTATGTAAAATTTTATGACTTTCCAAAGATAATAGAGCTGTTAAATTTTTTTCAAAAGATTTTTCATTAAACAGAAGAAAAATTAGAAATATTTAAATATGTCATTTTTTTTTATTCCTCCATTCACTGTTCAACCAGTATTCAGATCACATAGAGATTGAAGTGATAAGTTTTCAATTAAAAAAGAAAACATTTTCTACAGTTTGGGTAGGTTTTGTCAAGTATAAAGGATCATTGAGAAATTGAAAATAGGCATTTGAAGACAGCAACTATACCAGTCTGCTATTTAGGGGGAAACTCAATAAATTTGCTCTTCATTAAATATTTACTTTTTGTAAAAATTACTAAGGCAATTTAATATGTAATAAATGTAAACAGGAGAAAAAGTTATGTATGTATGTGTCTTTAAAATAGAGCATAGAATTGTTTCTAAAAGAGCAAAAATATATAATTCAGAAAACAAGACAAATAGAAGAAACTAAAATTACCTGTTGCCATGGGTATTTCCTATAGCAATGGTTTAAAAAAAGCAGTAACTGACCTCAACTTGGAGTATTTGCAATTTTGCTTCTTCACCTTGGTAGCATTGTGTGTGATTTCAAAAAGTTTAATGATGAAAATACACCACAAAATAAATAAGTAAAAATGCATCATATTTGAGCCTTTCTTTAGACTTTAGAGACAGATTTCACATCTATAATCTCACTTGATGAAATAATGATGATCATGATCTCTTATTGTCAGATAAATAGGTATCAGACGGTTTTTTGATAAAGACTCTACATAAATGCTTCATTACAGGCTCTTCAACAAGTAGGGCCTGATGATACAATCCCTTCCTGATAGTCCTCTACCTGTGAGTCCTGTGATATAAACTGTTGTTATAGAAGGTAACCAGGATGAAAGCACACAGATAACACAGAAAGAGTGGGGTTAGAAAAACATTTAGGAGAAAATTGGAGGGAATGTCAGGGAAAGTTTTAAATATGTTGACACTGGTAATTATACATCTTACATCAAAATTTCCAAAAGGTTAAAATGCAAATTGTTTCTTGAGAAAGAGAAAATAAGCCATAGATAAAGGCTTAAAAATCATTCATTTAGTGGAAATTATTTAATCTTGAGAATAGAGGATAATGACAAATGGGAAAGGAAGGTAAAAGAGGGACAGTCAAGAACAAAAACCTTAGAAAATGCCTGGATTAGGGCATAAGAGGTGAATATACAGCCAAGAGAAGAAAAGGACAAATCATCAAATGGCAAGAAGAAAAAAAAAAAAACCACAGTATGTGCCATACATTTCAGGAAACATGAATATTCCGGAGGTTAGTCACCTTAAGGAAAGTGAAGATTCATGTTATTAAGCAAAGGGAATATAGGGTCCATTTTTCTTTATTTTTCTCTCCTTTCCTTTGAGCCATTATTTTCCTGCTTAGTGAAAAAACAAGAGGTTTCAGCAATGACTATGATTTAAATATTTGTGCAGATTTAAAATATATATGCCATCTAAAATTATTGATTGTATGTATGTTGAGCTATACTTCAATACATAAGCAATCTTTTCATTGATTTACTTGTTTATGAAAAAATGAGAACATTTGGCTATTATAATTGCTTTTATTTTGTGGCTCATTTGAGTAGGTGCTATGGTCTGAATGTTTATGTCCTCCCAAGATTCATGTAATAAAGTTTTTAAGTCCAAGGTGATGATATCAGATGATGCAGCTTTTGGGAGGTTATTAGGTCATGGAGGCAGAGCCTTCATGAATGGGGTAAGTTCCCATATAAAAGAGGTTTGAAAGAGACCCCTCACCTCCTCCGCTACATGAAGACATACTGAGAAAAGTGCCATCTATGAACCAAGGGGAGGTCCCTTACCAGACACTGAATCTGTTGGTGCCTGATCTTGGACTTCCTAGCCTCCAGGACTGTGGAAAATAAATGTTGTTTAGCCAGTTTGTGACATTTTGTAATAGCAGCCTGGTTAACACAGTGGGCATGGTTCTGCAACAAAGTTAGTGGAGTAAAAGCTATCCTTTACCATTCTGCTATGGTCTCAATGTTTGTGTCTTCCCCCAGAATTCACGAGTTGAAACTTCATACCCAATATGATGGAATTAAGAGATGGGGCCTTGGAGAGATAATTAGGTCACAAGGGCAGAGCCTTCACAAATGGCATTAGTGCCTTTATAAAAGAGGCCCTACAGTTGCCTTACCCTTTCCACCATGTGAGAACACAGCTAGAAGAGACCAGGAAAAGGGCCCTCACCAGATACCAAATCTTCCAGTGCTTGTTCTTGGACTGCCCATCCTCCAGAACTGTGAAAAATAAATTCCTGTTGTTACTAAGCTACAAAGTCTATGGTATTTTGATACAGAAGCTATAATGATCTAAGACAACTCCCTTGGATGAATGAAAAATTTGGTCAGGCCACATAGGCAAGTTATAATTAGGGGCAAAGCTATAACCATAGAGAGGATTTATGAGCTTATGAGTTCCGATGAGATAAAAGGCATACTAAGAAGAGCCACAATCTCAACAGAAAGAATACTGGATTAGGAAAACTGCCTAAATATCTGTCCAGTGGATTAGGAAAACTGCCAAACTGTCCAACTGCTTGAACAAGTTATGCCAATAGCAAAATGGCAAGTAACTTGACCTCTCTGGGTGTAAGTGTCTTCTTTTCTATAAAAGAATCAGATTAGGTTATCATTATGAACTTTTATTTGTAATGAACTATAATTTTTCCACTCAGTAGTTAAAGAATATTTATTAAATTACAAGATGAAAAATATACAAACAGCTGTCACCAAAATTCATCTTAGAGAGAGAAGTGTAATTTTGGAAAGAATATATTGATAAATACTTGAAGATAGAAGACCCTAAGAGTTATGAGTAAAATAATTTTAAATATGACAAGGGAAAAACATTGTTTCTGGCTCCATGAAAGAAAGAAGATAAGAAAATGAGATAGAATAAGGTAAATGATATAGGGGCACTTTCTTTGAGATGAGTCTCTTTCCAGTGACCTCTTAAAGTCACAATAAAACCCACTAGAGTTATGAAATATTTAATGTGTAGATTGCTTATGAAATGGATGAAGGAGTTGAGTTGTAAGTCCATTGGGGGAAAGCAAATACAATCACCAAGCAGCCTGGAGCAGTACAGAATTAGAAAGGAGTAGAAGACAGTGAGATCTTGTAATCTGCAGAAATTGTGGGTAAGACTTTGAATTCCATCACAGATGAACGAATTGAAACTCAGGCCAAGCCCAACAAAATCTTTTAAGAGCAGGAAACCTCAATATGGCACTGGCTTACGACTCTAGATGGTGAGTTGTTTCATTCTTCTACTTGAAACCTCTTTATTTCTCTATTGTTTTGGTAATAATGTCCAATATCATTTACATGAATTACATGACTATGCCCAATTTAGCTCCTGCCTATCAAACAACATCATTGCTCATTGTTTTCTGGCCCTTGTATTCCTTTCTGCGAGCCAGCCTCTGCATAAATCCTGGCCTGAATATTTCATTGATTCTTTACCATAAATGTTATTCTTCCCCATTTCCATCTGAGGCCAAATAACAAGGTCTCAACTTATTTTTATTTATTTTTTGTCTAGTGGGCTTTCTTGATCTCCTAGAATAGGTTTAATCACCTTGATTTTTGATGTTACCAAACATTTTCTAGTTCTTATCCTTTCATGATATTCCTCATGCTTTGTCTTTTCTTCTAAACTGTGAGGACAGAGACCATGTATACCTTGTTTACCATTCTATCCCCAGTATTTGGCATAGTGCCTGGAACATGGTAAAGCAAAATAAGTTAGTAGAGAATGACTGATTTATAGAAATAATGAATTATTTTAGATTCTAGGAAGGATCTGAAGTAGTTCCTATGGATTCAGAGTTAGACTATGATAGCCAGTCATCAATCACAGGGCAGTCATGTTATATAAATGATAAAGGCCACATGAATTATGCCACTTATAAATATTAGTAATCTAAAAAATAGAGATGCTACTTTCTATCATTTATTATATAATTATAACTTCATTTATCTAGTCATCACAAAAAAATTCAGACATCTCTCTTTCTGACCACCCATTCTCTGGTTACTTGGTTTAGATTGCTTGCTCAATTACTCTATTTTTTTCCATTAAGAAAGCCGCAAAAGCCTCATAACTTTCCAGCCTGCACAGTTACAATCCATTTTACATGAGGGGGATCTGTGTTCATTTTAAAACATAAATCCAGTCTGGCTAGGCTCTGAGCAAATCCTTGAGTGGTTTTCCATTATACTGTACTTAGAAAGCAGCAAGCCAAAAGTCTTGCCATGACTTACAAGACCCTGCATGATCTACTAAATTTGGCTCCTGTTTACTCTCCAGAACTCATAACATTTATTTATTTAACAAACAATTATTAGTGCAATATATGCTAGACATTGTTATAGTTCCCAGGATGCAGAATTCCTGCCCTCACAGAGCTTGCTTTCATGGTCTGATGAAGCTAAATCATCTGTTCACATTACCTCCCAATCTACCATCTCCTCTCTGGATCCCCTTCCATTAATACTTCCTTTGACGAGTCACCAGTGAACACCAACTTCTAAACTCAAGTGGCACATTTTTAATCTTATCTTATTTGGCCTCTCCAAAGCCTATGGCAAGTTCCCTACTCACTCCTGTAAACACTCTGTGTCATGGTTTTCCCCTATCTAAACAGCAATACCTACTCAATCCCCCTAACAGTTCACCTTCAACTCTACGTAAGCAGGAAGGAGATGAGAAAAATGTGGGGGTGAGACAGAGCCCTGAGAAACTCCAATATTTAAATGAGTAAATGAAGAAAAGAAGGAAGAGCTTCCTGGCCCCTGGATCAACTTACTTGATATTATTATATACTTTACATACTTTAGTGCAGGAGAAACCTGCACTAATCCTCCATGAAAATTTTCACAATTACATTTACTTATTTGTGTCCTTACTTATTCAATGTTTATCTTTGCCACTAAACCCATTTTCCTCCTAAACTCCCTAAGACTGTCAATCTTGTTCCCTACTGCATCCTCAGAGGTAGCTTGGGGTCTGACTCATACAGGCATTCAATTTTGTGGAAAAAATGAATGTACAATCCTACTACATCCATGCACACTCATCTACATACCTTTCATTATATAGCTGTATGACTGTGTTTATGACATTGAAATGATGAGAAATGGTCCCAAATTATTAACAATAAATCAATATACTGAAAATAGAAACTATTAATAAATTAGGATTAATCCCACATCAACGTAGTGTATCTTTTTTATAGCAAAGATCATTGATTTGAGAGTTAAGTATTTCTGCTATTGTCATAATAATGTCTGCTTCCTAATTAAAACCTACCTTACCCTAGAAAATAAAAGCACTCAGATAACTTTAAAAATTGTATCATAAGAATATGTAAAAGAGAAGTGAAATTGAAGGTTGAAAAAATTAAATACAAGACTCTGATATAGAGATCAAAATTGTATTCTCACCTCCCTCTTGCCATAGATGGTGTTCCTTTACTTATCCCATCCTATCATAAATTCACTGGATGCTCCTGTAACAAGTAATGTGAATCAAGAAAAAATGTGCAGAGGGGTATACTAAGCGACAACTGGAGCAGACTTTGGTACTGCCTGCATTCTTGTTAGCAATAATCATCTAATGCTAGATTCTGAGATCAATTTTGTTCAAAGTTACTCACAAAAATATTTTCATTCACTAAAACTTTTAAGTGGCCTATAAAATTCTTTTGGTAACATCGCTTTTTGTGTTTGTTTTTTAATGCAAAATTTTACTTTTAAAGATAGTATTGAATAATGAAAGAAGTAGAACAAGGGTGTCAATATGCATATTCTTAAAGTTATATGGGTATGGCCAGGCGCGGTGGCTCACGCCTGTAATCCCAGCACATTAGGAGGCCAAGGTGGGCAGATCACGAGGTCAGGAGATCGAGACCATCCTGGCTAACACGGTGAAACCCCGTCTCTACTAAAAATACAAAAAATTAGCCGGGCGTAGTGGCGGGCGCCTGTAGTCCCAGCTACTCGGGAGGCTGAGGCAGGAGAATGGCGTGAACCCAGGAGGCGGAGCTTGCAGTGAGGCGAGATCGCGCCACTGCACTCCAGCCTGGGCGACAGAGTGAGACTCTGTCTAAAAAAACAAACAAACAAAAAAACTTATATGGGTATACAGATGTATGAAATATATTTTTCCTCTTATGTAAGTTTACATAGAGATTTATAAAAATATTGAAATAACCACAGACATAATATACAAATATTTTTTGTAATAATATATGCATTCAACAGTTTTATATTTCTTCATATATGCCCCAATCTGAAATCTAATGCAACTTATCAATATAGATCTTTATTATCAGAGTCAATCTATATTATATAATTATAAATTAAACTAAGTCATTTGGAAATAAACTATCATGCTTCCACAACAAATTGCTTCTTTTTTTTATGAAAATGGCTTACATAACGTGGTGACATTATCTTTCTTATTAACAATAAAAAATAACTCATAAAATATGGTGTTTATCCTAAGCTTCATGAGTTTTGGAGAAGTCTTTGTACCTCCTGAAACTATGTGTATATTTTGGCATAAGCTTATGAGTATTTTTCTGGGATGAAGAACTTCAGCTTTTATTCACTTCTCAATAATGTGATACCCTAAAATATATGTACTAATAATATATTTAAAAGGGCCTATGAGTCCACAGTGAGATGGGTCATGAAATTAATGAGACTTTAAAATTACTTTTTACATGGGGTTGTCATCTTAATGCTGAAGTGGGAAAAACAATAAATTTAAGATTTATTTTATTTTTTTATTAATATCATTTATACTCTCACATGCTCAGAACTCATGGTAAGTGATTTTAAGATGAGGAATTTATGACTGAAATAACTTTCAATGGGTATGTCTGTAGAAAGAAAATTTTAACATGATTGAACTGATTGATTGCTACCTCATATGTACAATTTCAGAGATATCGAAATGACTACTTAACTGGCTTAAATTTGTGTTAAATCTTATCTGAAAGTGGAGTAAAAATAAATAGCTTTAAAAACTAAACTGCAGTTTTAAATGTTATATGCAGATGACCCATGTCTCCAGACAGATAATTTAATGTTGCCAAATGTATATTTTCATGAAATGTAACTTTCCACACAGTGACAATGTTCTCTGTTTTTATATAATAAAAATATATATTGTACACCAAGATGAAGGCATTTTGTTGCTGTCAATAAAAGCAACATACATCATCTAACCCTTATCTATCACATGACACTAGGAAGACAATATTTTATTAGCGAAGTAGGACTTGTTAGAGAAATAGCTTATCGTTATGGAATATAAGCCTATTAATGCTGTAAATTTATCTTCATATATGTCACGTAAGATGCATTATCACCCATTAGATGCAAGTATAAGCTAAACATTAATGGAGTGATTGTTGATATCTTTTCACCACAATATCCTCCCAGTCGTGTGCTGAACAGAGCTCTTTCATCTAAATTGGTAGACCGCTCTAGATGATACGCAATTAAGAAATGTGCTATTCCAACGCATTAAAGTACAAGCCAAGTGCAAGTTATTAGCATCCACTTCCAGTACAACTTGGCAAGTGAGAGAATGTACGCAACAAGGAAGTGATTGCTTACACTCTAATAACGGTTTAAGAAACTGATATTTACAATACATATATTCTAGCTAGAGAAGCTTTCTTTCAGCTCTTTGTAGTCATCTTGACAACTCATAAGGTAAGTTTATTTTTACAGGGCATTGAATTCTCAGAAAACATTAGGTAAATCTTTTAACATTAATTCTCAGCTGGCTCAAATGGAAATGAAAATACCTGTCATTTAAGGAAGGTGAGAAATATATGAACAGTTTTGTAAGAAACAAGTGTTGTGTAAATATTGTTAAAGTTATTACTAATAAATAATCAAAGAGTTGACCTATTAAAAATATATTTGGTCATAAAATTAAGTGGCTTTTTCTCTATTCACCATGACATTGTATTTCCTCACCTATTCACTAAATCATACATCACGAATATCTTAAAGATAATGTCAGCTACAAAACTCTTCCAAAATGTTTAAAATCTCTAAATTATTGTTTAATTTACATAAAGGGGAATCACAGTTAAAAGTTCAATGAAATGAAGAATTATGAAGAAAACTACTATTTTCTGCTTAGACAAATTATCTTAGTTGTATTTAAAATATGTGGGACCTATCTTCCAAAGTTTCCTAGTTTTATGGACTTCATTAGTTCACGTATAAAAATAGAAAATTTAATATGTAATATAATACATAATACACTTACCCTAACACAGATCCACCTATTTACATTTTTTATATCTACCCTGGTCTAGAATTAGAGGTAATTTCTTAATCCAGAGTGTGTGGAGCTGGGAAAGTTGGAGAAAAACTGTCACCAGTAATTGTAATGGCTGCTGATTTAGGATTTGGCAACAAAAATCAAATAGCATAAACTTATTTTGCTTTGTACATAGTGAATAGCAAATAATACCTGTCTTATTACAGAGCATCTTACAGATAACAAATCGTATTTAATCCTCATATTGTTGCATATATAATGAAATTGAGCATCAGGAAGGTGAGACTTACATAATCACAAGGATCAGAGCCAGAACATGGAACAAGATTTTTGAATTCAAGTTCAGTGTCCTGACTATTGCCCCAAAACCTGTTTGGGGTATAATTGTAAATCCATGGCTAATTGTCACATTGGAAAATTAAAAAACAAACAAAAAAAAAACAGCCATTTTTAGCAACAAACTTTCTATAACTGAAAAAGAAAGTTCCTTTTTTCTTTTAAGCTCAGGGGTACATGTGCAGGTTTATTATATAGGTAAAGTTCTGTCAAAGGGGTCTGTGAACAGAAAAGAAAGTTTCTATAACTGAAAGAAAAGATTTAGCTTTGTAGGAGAAAAGAGCTAATTCACTTGGTCTACGCTGGTGTGTCACGTTAAACACTGTTTTTTTAATGTCTAATAGATGCATCTACTGTGATATGATATAATTAAACTTCTTTGGAAAGAATTCAAGACCCATCCACATAACACTGAAATATAATATGGTAACTAATATTACATTAGATTTTAGGGTTATAATCATGTATTATGACAACAAATGAACAAAAAGTCAGAGCTTGTAAGAAATCGTGTTGCAACTGCATCATTTGTTTACAAGTATATATGAAGTAAATCTGAAAGACATTTCTAACAAGGCACTCATGTTAAACATGTTCCTCACTGAGAGTAGTTAAGAGTGAAAATGTAAGCCTTTGTTTGGCTAGCTACCTCAACATTTCCCAGTAAACACATAGTAATGTTCTCCTTGTGGCCTTTACCCTTTTGGTTGGGGGATGAGGTAGACATCTTCATTGCAAAGAGAGGATATTATGTGTCACAATTGCATTAAATTTTAATTTCAAAATAAAATAAAATAAACATCCATAAACAGGAAACTGAATAAATTATGAGACATCTAGTATGGCATTCTATCAACTCAAATGAAGCAGATATCCTTGTGTTAAGTGAATAAAGCAAGAAATAGAACAGTATATATGGTAAGAGCTCATTTGTAAATCAAACACACACACATATATTATATATAGTGTGTATATAAAATTATAATATATATAATATATATACGCACATACACAGAGAGAGAGAGAAAGAGAGGGTATGACAGGATGATGGGCCTGGACAAATCTGAAAGGATTCTCAAAACACTGGTGACAGTGGCTACATTTGTGGAGTGAGATCTGAGGCTAAAAAGCCAGGATGATTCTATATAAACTCTTTGTGATTTGAATTTTGAGTTGTGTATAATGTGTATATGTATACATGTGTTTATATATACATATATATACCCACATTATATATTATATATAATATACATGTATGTATATACATGTGTCTGTGTGTCTGTGTGTACAGGCATACCTTGGAGATAATGTTGGTTAGTTTCCAGACCACCACAATAAGGTGAGTCACACAAATGTTTTGGTTTCCCAGTGCATAGGAAAGTTATGTTTACACTACACTGTAGTCTATTACATACTCAATAGCATTACGTCTAAAAAATAATATACATACCTTAATTTAAAAATACTTTATTGCTTAAAAAATGCTGACAATAATCTGAGCCTTCAGCCAAGTCATAATCTTTCTGCTGGTAGATGGTCTTGCCTCAATGTTGATGGTTGCTGACTGATCAGGGTGGTGGTTGCTGAAGGCTGAGGTGGCTGTTGCAATTTCTTAAAATAAGACTACAATAAAGTTTGAGAAGTTTGCTGAAATGACGCTCTTTCGTGAAACATTTCTCTGTAGCATCTGATGCTGTTTGGTAACATTTTACTCACAGAACTTTCAAAATTGAAGTCAATCCTCTCAAACTCTGCCACTGCTTTATCAGCTAAGTTGTCACTTCAACAATGTTCATAGCATCTTTACTAGGAGTAGATTTCATCTCAAGAGACAACTTTCTTTGCTCTTCCATGAGTGACTCCTCATCCCTTCAAATTTTATCATGAGATTGCAGCAATTCAGTCCCATCTTCAGGCTCCACTTCTAATTCTAGTTCTCTTGTTATTTCCACCACATCTGCAGTTACTTCTTCCACTGAAGTTTTGAGCACAAGTCACCAAAATAGATGTAATAATAATGAAAAAGTTGGCTATATTGTGAGAATTACCAAAATGTGACACCGAGACATGATATGAGCACATGCTGTTGAAAAAACTATCACCCATAGACTTGTTGAATGCATGGTTGTCACATACCTTCAATTTGTTAAAAAAAAAAAAAAAAGGGGGCAGCAAAGCACAATAAACGGAAATATGCCAATAGAGACATAGGTAGGTAGGCAGATAGATAGATAGATACATAGATACATAGACACATAAATAGAAACATAGATAGATACATACATAGATATAGATAGATATAGATAGATAGATTAGATAGATACATACATAGATATAGATAGATATAGATAGATAGATAGATTAGATAGATAGATAGATAGATAGATAGAAGATAGATAGATGATAGATAGATAGATTAGATAGAGTCTATACATGTGTTTCTGTGTATGTCAGGTCCCCAAATATCACCTGCTGCCTACCTTCCTTTCTCTTTCCTTTCCTTTCATTTGAAAACCTCAAATTTTGCATCAAGAGAATTTTCATTTATTTGTTTTATGGTCTGATGAATTGGGTAGTGGATTTCCTGACATGAAGCCATGGGAATACATAGATAGCAAAAATCTAAAAGCATAATAACACCCCCAAAACACAAATAACATACTCTCATAGTGAGGCAATAAAACCAATGACCACCCCTTAGGGAACACATAAGCAGAAGATGTGAACAGTTAAAACTCACTATCCCTTGCTTAGGCAACCTCTGATGTGCTCTGATCTTCACATTCTCAGTGCTGGACTTTGACTCTAAAATAGGTCTTGCCCATAAAAGACAGGGTAAAAGAACTTCCGGGTTATTCAAAGGGGATTTCACTACCATCCCTGGTAACAGTGTAAATAGATGCATTCTTGCCAAAGTGTGTCGATTAATACACTTAGTTTTAACATTTCAATTTAATTTACCACCATTTGTTGCACGCCAACTATGTATATGTCAATTTGCTACATCTTGCTGTATATACATATATGAAGAATGATGTACCTGAGCAAAAATTAAAGATCTTTACAATTCAACATTATTTGACTCTTACATTCAAAAGCAAATCTAGTTGGGCACTGTGGCTCATGACGGTAATCCCAATACTTTGGGAAGTTGCAGAAGGAGGACTGCTTGAGGTCAGGAGTTTGAGACCAGCCTGGGCAACATAGTGAGACCCAATTTCTACAAAATATTTAAAAATTAGCTGGGCATGGTGGGGCCCAGGAGTTTGAGATTGCAGTAAGCTATGATAGTGCCACTGCATTTCAGCCTGGAAAACAGCAAGCCTCAGGCCCTGTCTCAAAAAAAAAAAAAAAAAAAAAAGAAAATCTTACATATGAAAGTCAGAGAATTTACATAATTATTAATAAACTAGTTCTATAGTTCATTAAAAAGCTCACTCGCTATACAGATGTCTCCCATTTTTAGGTGTACTAAATGTAAAGTATATAATTTTACAATAATACATATATAATATATAATAGACATCTATTATAGATAAATGCAATCTATAAACACTTATATCCAAGATGGGGATGGTAGGATCACAGTGAATACTGGTCCATGCAGACAAAGAAGGATGTAAATAGCTAAAGTAAAAAATAGAGACAATGCTGCCCCAGAAAGATTAAAAGTGTGCTTTAACTCTTGATGATTTCCTATTTGTATATTTCAGTCCTTCCCATAATCTATGTCCTTACTCCACTAGAGTTCCACAACATATTCTTCCTCTTTTTACACCAGGGTTTCTTTGTTACCTCAGTATTAAAATGAACTCTGGCCAAGACAATATATAGAGGCTCAGAGAAACTAAGTAACTTATATCCATCTTGAATATAAGTGTTTATAGATTGGCTTTATCTACAATAGATGTTTATTATATATTATATAGTATTATTGTAAAATTATATATTTTACATTTAGTACATCTAAAAATGGGAGATATCTGTATAGCGAGTGAGCTTTTTAATGCTTATAAATGTCAAGGCAAAGACTGCAACTCAAATAGTCAACAGCTGCCTAGCTCCTGTCATGTGATCTTGCCATGTCATTATATTGGAAGCTCTAATAATAATCAGCAAGTGGCTAAATGTCCAGATTTATACTGTAAAGAAATAAGTATAGACATGTAAATAAGTCAATTAAATTCTCTTTTAAATCTTTTGAATTTTCTATTTAAACACTTTTAACATGTTCAACAACATAAGACTCAGTTTTTTGGAAAGTAGTGTTATCAGACACAATCTGTATCTGATTCTGTGTTACAATCACTGCTAAGGAAATGACAGTATCCAGTTTAGAATTTATGTAAGGTAAAATAAAGGAAGGAAGATTTTTAAAGGCGGTAATGTGGTGGAGTACAGGAAAGGCTAACATTTTAATCATTTTCCGAAAATGCTTATGATGTCAGAATACATTACATCAGAAGATACAATTGTGGAACATTTACACTACTAATGTAAAGACCTGATTGTGAGCTGACTTCATTGGTGAAAAGACAAGTCAAAGGGAATGACCAGCCCTGGCACCTAAAAATGGCAACACAACTTTTCAAAAGGCTCATTCATTCCTTAAACTATTGCTACTAATGGAGTAATATATGGAAATCCATTGCCATAGTTTATTGTAGTGGTTTCTTGCTAAAAGGGATTCATGATCAAATAATGTTAGAAAATCTGAGGTCAATAAAGTTAAACCGGTGTTTAGTTTTGCTTGATGTGTTTTGGCTTGATTTCACTGCAGGGCTCCTCAGAGCCTTTAATGTGTAAATGCACACTGTGAAGCTTCAAGTGAGCGATGTTTATATTAAGTTTTCCTAAATATTGTATGAAAGAAGTTCCTCCCCTCCATTTTTCTATTTTTTCTTTATTTATTTTTTTAGAAGAACGACAAGTGGGTAGAAGAGCAGCAGCAAAGCGGCTGGGAACATTAGTGCTCCGGGGGTCTGTTCTACCACTAACAAGTAACTTGGAGAAAAAAAAAATCAATGTCACAGATAATAAAGGGAGAAATGATTGGGGCTTATGGTATGAAATAAATGAGTAAAATGCTCAGAATATGCAATACTGGATGGTGTTAATAATACAAATTGGAAAGAACTACCTTTACTAAGTCTTTTTCTAATTTCCCCCAATAGAAGCCATGAGTAGCCAAAGAGAGACATGAAAGGTAGTTTCATTCCAAGCTGATTCTAGTTCCTGTTTCTGACTCCAGAGAATAAATTTCAAAATGAGTTTGAAATAAAGCATTAGGCTAAGCCCTAAGAAGGCTATGATTAAATTAATAGCAATGGAAACCTACTTGAATTTATAAATAAAAAGACACCAGATTGTATAGAGATGACTACTGCTTATTAAATCTAGCTCTCTTCCAATAACAGTTCTTCCTTTTTTTTTTTTTAACTACTGGCAAGCTAGTGGCAAACATTAACTAGTTCATATTGCTTTGGCTAGATGTTTTAATAGTCTTTGGTGAGATATGTGTTTTACAAGTTTTAATGGAGAAAAATGTAAGTATTTTACCTCCTGAAACTTGGCTATTTGAGTAATGAGAAAATAGTCACTTTCCCCAGGACAGTGGTTCTCAATCATGGCTATGTGTTTCTCCAGGAAAACTTTAAAAATATATATATACCAATGCTTCTGTGTCACTTCTAGGGATTCCAAGTCTTTGAATACGAACTCTGCATCAGTATTCTTTAATTATCCAGGTGATTGTGATGTGAAATCATGACTGAGCCCCACTGCTCTAAGATGAAATAAACTTTCCTCAGCACTGAAATCACAAACTTAAACTACCAAAATTAATTAAGGGCATGGGAATCAATAAGGCATAGGGAAGCTTTTACATTATAAAATTATTTCTTTAAATCACAGCTCATTGTTTATATGTTATTTGCCATTGTAGAAAAGGGTGAAAAAATAGCAAATTTAATTACTCTCAGTTTGAAAAATTATCCAGAAATGAAGATGACGACTCTGAAACATTGTCAATATCATTTGACCTATAAATAATGTTCTAATACATTTACTACACACTGATAGATACTTTTTCATATGAATATTATACATTAAAACTAAGGCAATAATGATTTAGAACATTCTATCTATATCTATGTATCTTAAGTAGGCTAGAAATTAAGATATGAGTTATTAAGTATGAGATGTTAAGGTGTGGGGTTAGAAATTATACTGTACTTCATTATCAATAATCAACATATACTTCAATATCACATACATTTAACTTTAATTTGTACATCTTTAACTATTTTTAATTATGTGTATAAATATAAGTACACACATCTTTATGTATTTATTTATTCATACCTCCATTCACTTATTTATATAGGGGATCCCCCCAAATCCACTACCATTAAACCATACATTTTTATTTTAATCTTTAGAACAAGCCCAGGAGGCAGGTATTGTTATTACTCACATTTTACAAATGAGGAAATTGTCTACAGTCACAAAGTTACTGTGTCAGACATATTAGAAGCTTAATACATATTTGGTGAACATATGCATAAAAACAGAGAGACAGACATGTACAACAGCTCATCTTTACACTGAGTAAAAGCTTTTAACCTGTCTCAGAAACCTCTCTGTGAAAACTGAGCAAAAATCGAGGTATCCTTTCATTTGTCATATAGGTATAGGTGGTACCTTACTTCTCCAACAAGGATGAATATTGAAATGTGGATCCCAAGGCCCAACTCCAGATTTTCTGAATCCCTGATAGTGGGACTTGGAATTTGTCTATTGTTTCAAAGTTTCTCAAGGAATTCATATGATCAACCAGGTTCAGAAATCACTGGATCTTATTGCCGAAGTTTGAGAATTAAAGTTTGGGCCTTACTGCGGCTCCACAGAAAGGGCAAATGAAGTATCATGGACAGAACTGATACGTTCCCAGTTAGTTTCCCCTCTCAGAAGCTAACAGGCAGCAATACAGCAGAAATTAGTGACTTATGTCTTGTGCTCTGAAGTCAGGCAGAATTTCACAGAGTCCCAGCAGTGTCACTGACGAGATTTGTTTCTTGGGGCAAGTTGCCTGATGCTTTCAAAGCCATATTCCTTTTATATAAAATGAGATAATATTCTTTGTCTCATAGGGGTGTTTTAAAGATTAAATAAAAATAACATGTTCTATCCTACATGGCACAATGCCTGACACCTAAGAAGCAAAGGATACATCTTACCTTTATTGAAGCAATCAGAAAGTATGAAATCATGAAGGAGATAAGAGTTCTGATTGGCAGTGTATCTTATTTTCCCAGGTTCATTTATTTATCTTAAACTATTCTTGTTGGAGAATAACTCCCAAGCCCCCTACTTAAGCTGTGAGTAATCTCACACTTTATAATGATGTTCTTTCCATGAGAAAAAAAAATGTTCTTAAGTTTTCTGGAGAAAATATATCTGCACTATTTCTACTGAAAAATCTAACAACTGGACTCTGCTCCTCTGCATCAATTCTAGAGTGTATATGCCACAAATAAAGTGTTCTAGCTCAAGAAGATTGAAAGTAAATATGGTATAGTATTTTAAAATAAGAATTTTGCAAATACATGGTATGATTGTGTCATATTACTAGCAATCATATGATACGCAATGCAAAGTACAGTTCATAGACTTAAATTTAATTCTAATAAGTAAACTGATTTTGCCTTGCTGGGGAAAAGTTAAAGCACTAATCCAATTGCTAATGCAGTCTTGTCTACTTCTTTGGTACCTAGTGACAAGTCTAAATAATGTATATATTTTTATTTACATATTCAGTAATACAATTCTCTGCTCAATGAGTGATGTTCTTCTGCCACTTGGTGGTGCTTGCCAGTTTCAGAATTTGTTTCTTGGTGGCACTATAACACTAAGTACAGAGTAAGTGCAACAAAATTGCAGCATTCCCATTGAAAAGGCTTTGCTTCAAACTGTTTAATAATTTAAAGGACCTCTGTGGAAGCAACCGCATTTGTTAACCAGTTACAACCAGTAATTAACTCCTTTGGAGTTTTAACTTACTTTTGGCAAAACGTCTTAGGAAGAGCATATATTATTAGAAAGTATGCCAAAAATTTACTTAGCAGAAAATTCAAAAACAGTTTTCCTCTGCTAAGAGGTTCTCTAAAATTCTACTTACATAGCCAAACTCTGAAATCCTAGCAGGTCCTGTTTCATTATCATAATTACTGCATAAACACTTTTAAGGACTTTGCCTTTAGTTTCAAGCATGACTTATTTTCATAAGCCTGATTAGTTACCACACCAGCCTTGCTATGGAAAATGACATGTTCTCATTCTCTGCTGTAGAGTTGTTAAATCTTGATCTATATTTATGTTGCCTTCTCTGCTGAAAGCCTGTAGCGAAAGAAATTTCTAATTCCTTGTTTTGCAATATTAGTTGGCAGCTCTATCTAATGGGTATTCTGTTTCCTTAAAGAATTTAGCTGCTCTGTCTAGAAGCCGATTTTCTGATGCCTCCAACGTCTGGTCTAATTGATCTGTTTTAATGGAGTCTTCGTCGGTGAGGAGCGAGATGCCACCGACTAGAATGCTGGGATCTGCTGCTTAATTGCCAGGAGTGAGAGACACTGAGATTCAGAAATCTTTGGAGGTGGGAGGGGAGAGGGACAGTCTCGGACGGAGGCGGAGATGTAAGATAAAGGGATGGATTTCACACAGGAAAAAAAAAAAGATTTCGTTGAGGCACTGAGGTGCTGCACGATCACATCTCTCAAAGGAGAAGTTAAAAAGCAAGGAAGTGGGAGGAGGTTGGAGGTTAAAGTACTTAAAAGGATTACTCGGGTACAATTTGTTTTTCTGCTGGTGTCTGCAAAGGATAGATAGTCCCGTTTTCAAAGTATATGAATGCCTCTTTTAAGTGATTGGGAATGGACACTAATTGCCTGTTAAATGTTATCAAATGCTCTCCTAAATTCAGGGGACACAGAAAGAGGGGCACAAAAGGAGAATTTAAATAGAAAAAGGGAGGATCCGGAGGCTTTTGAAAGCGGGGGGAGAAGAAGGAGGAGGGATAACAGAGAGGAATAGAGAAGGAGAGCGGAGAGAAGATAAACAAAAACAAAAACAGGAATCACTGAATAATCACACACCAAAAAGAAAGCTCTTCCCTATGGGGCATCCAAAACACTGAGACTGCAATAGTGACCCCGGTCATGGAAGAAAGATGTTCCTCTCCACCCTTGTCCCCGAAAGCTCTTGGTCCCGTTACTGGCGACTAAAATTCCATTAGGCTAAAGAGTGTGTCTAACTGCCTGAAGAATGCAGCAGACGGAAGGCGGGTCCCGCTATGCCGTTTGCCCTTCCCGCTGGAGAGAATGAAAGAAACGCGCAGAGCCAGAGACTCCTGCCGAGTTAGACCTTCTCTCGTCGCCCCAGGTCACCGGCCATCCGGCAAAGACCCGAGTAAGGAACGCAGGGTCACTGCCTGGGCCAACAAATGGAGCCCGCTCTCCCCTTCCCGGACGCCGCTGCCCGGCCGATGCTCCCGGCAACCCACCCGCGGCGTATGCAGAGGAGCCTTTCTCTTTCTCTCAGACCACTTGTCCCGACCAATCTGACCTTCCAAACACATCTGACCGCACCTCCCAGGTGGACACACTAATAGGCTACGGGCTGGAGAGGAGCGGGTGATGAGGAGAGGGATTCAAACCTGCGAACGCTTGGGCTGGGTCGGAGCTGCGGGGGGCCTGGGAGGAGAGAGGGGAGAAGAGAGAAGGAAGGAGAGCGCCTGCCGGGATGGCTGAGCTGCCTCGGCGAGCAGCCTTGGGGTTGCACGCTCTTGTGGGAGATGCTGCTGTTGCTTCCAGGTCGGCAAGAGCGGTTCTAACACCATCGCCTCTCACCCTCTTTCCTGTAAATCCCTAGAGAAACGTCCCTGGCCTCTCCGCCGCGACATTCCCAGCCTGCATCCCCCTACAGCCTAGGCGGCGCGCTCCCGCACGCTGGAGCGCCGGTCGCCAGCAGGACGCCCTCTCCCGCGCCGACTCGCCCCTCTCTGCCCTGCTGCTGCTGCTCCTCTGACACCTCCGCCCCCACCATCTCCAGCTCGGAGAGACGCCACCCAGCCGCGGCCCGCACTCGCGGCCCGGGGTCACGCGCGGAAGAGGGGCGCTAGTCCGGACCCCGCCTTCGGTAGGGGGCGTCCTGGAGCGGAGAGTGAGGCGAATGGTATATGAGTGTGCGGGTAGCCCACCCTGAAGCCCGAGCTTCTCATTTGAGCCATCCCCGCCTAGCCCCACTCGGGCCAGCGCCTGGCGAGCGAGCCCATCTGTGGCTTCCGCGGCCGCCTCCTCCTTGCATCCTTGCACCTCCTCGTCGACCCCTCCCTCCCGGGACCTGCATCCTGCTCCACCAATCAGAGCCCGACTGCCTCTTCCCACGTGACCCCGGGCGGGCTGAGGACCTGCTGCTTCCCAAACGCCAGAGGGATGCGGGCGGCAGAGCTCGAGAGGCGGCTGCCGGGCTGCGGGGCGCCTTGACTCTCCCTCCACCCTGCCTCCTCGGGCTCCACTCGTCTGCCCCTGGACTCCCGTCTCCTCCTGTCCTCCGGCTTCCCAGAGCTCCCTCCTTATGGCAGCAGCTTCCCGCGTCTCCGGCGCAGCTTCTCAGCGGACGACCCTCTCGCTCCGGGGCTGAGCCCAGTCCCTGGATGTTGCTGAAACTCTCGAGATCATGCGCGGGTTTGGCTGCTGCTTCCCCGCCGGGTGCCACTGCCACCGCCGCCGCCTCTGCTGCCGCCGTCCGCGGGATGCTCAGTAGCCCGCTGCCCGGCCCCCGCGATCCTGTGTTCCTCGGAAGCCGTTTGCTGCTGCAGAGTTGCACGAACTAGTCATGGTGCTGTGGGAGTCCCCGCGGCAGTGCAGCAGCTGGACACTTTGCGAGGGCTTTTGCTGGCTGCTGCTGCTGCCCGTCATGCTACTCATCGTAGCCCGCCCGGTGAAGCTCGCTGCTTTCCCTACCTCCTTAAGTGACTGCCAAACGCCCACCGGCTGGAATTGCTCTGGTAAGTCCAGAACCCCCGTCCCCGACCCTTTAACTCCGCAGAAGAACACGCGTATCCAGCACAGACCAGCCTACCCTAGCGCGCCTCCTCAGCCCCTCACCTCCTACTGCCCTAGACCCCTAATACCACCCACCTCTATCCAGAGAAACAAGGGGAACTGTTGCAGGCCCGGGGGTGAGGGGTGGTTCTGGGATGGGCAGAAAGTGCAGGTGTAGCAGGAAACCTTTGCATGCTTGCGCTTACATTGGAGCTGCGAGGATTTTGAGAAATATTAAACGGGATGGTTTTCTGGGTTCACTGTTTTGAAAGAGCACCAATCCTAGGGGAAACACTGAAACAGAAGCTTTGTCATCATTAAAGAAAAAAGTCTTACTAGGATGAGGAAGAAATAACTTTATGAGAAAGAATGAGCGAGAAAGCAATAAATCAAATGGTGACTGCAGGGGAATCGCTGATTCCTGGCAAAGGTGCCATGAGGTCGCACTGGTCTCCCGTTGAAGACCAGGTCACACAGATTCTAGAGGAGCTGGGTTTCAATAGAATTTCTCTCTCTCTCTCTCTCTCTCTCTCTCTCTCTCTCTCTCTCTCTCTATCTATCTATCTCTCTCTCTCTCTCATTCCCTTCTCTCCTAGGCGGCAAAAGACATTGGTTTTGCAGTCCAGATATGCCCCTCTCTTTGCTTCCCTAAGCTTCAAGGTAGTACAGGGGAGTTGAGAAAAAGAACACTTTGCGGGTCTCCCAGGCCGGAGTGGGCATGACTGAGGCTGGTCAGGCTCCATGTAGGCGAGCCGAGGGCGGAACCGACTTCAGTGGGCGCTGACTCCTCCATTTCTGGACAGGCTTCTGTGGAGTGGGTCAGGCACTCTTCTTGCTCGCTCGGGTTCCTTCAGATTCTGACGGCGAACGCTTGGCAGGCTTCGCTCTGCTGAAGCTTCCTAATTAAATAGGGCCAGAGGATGGGAGTTGCTGCACTCCTAGCTGGCATAGCATTTCGGTTTGACAGCCTGTAGTATACTGGGCAGAATTGTGGTGTAATTTCCTTGGCATTTTAAACTCCGTTAACATGCCTGGGTATTGTCCCCTAGGTGTGGTCTGTTCTAGTTTTAGCAAGTGTGTATGTAATTTTTCATCTTCTGTGAATATAATTTTGCTGTAGTTAAATCTGGCTCTGAATAAAGTGTCTTTCAAAGATGTATATAAGCTGAAGTGTATGTAACTTTAGAGAGGAGGGAATGACCAACTGTAACTCAGGGTGAAAGCCTGTATAGTTCCTAGTTATTACTGATGTAAATGCCAAAAGGAAAATTATTATGCATCATTCTAATTTATCCTTTACAAAGACAAGTTGAGATATGCAACCCTATTAGATTTGGGTCAATAGATTGTTCTCTTTTTTGGCAGTTTCTAAATTTGGCATTTTAATAAAACTCAACATGTTTCTATAACTTCTTGATTCATGCGTACATGTGTGTTGTTTTTGAAAGAATAAGTTTCACTTTGCTATTGCCTAATCACTTTTTAGATGCTTTATTATGGTAATAATTATGAGCCTGCAAAAACAATTTTTGGAAATGTTGATGGCTTTGTAGTCCAACACAGACTGGTTTGCTTCATTCCTAGCCCTTGCATTGTTTTAGGAAATAACTAACTTAAATGTGAAGTTGACATTTGCAATCAAGAAATTACATATTTACCAGATATTTTAAAGGGGACTGCATAAACTAAAGAGAATAAACTGGTTTTGCAGATAGGTTGTCAAGAACTTGGCACCCCGCTTCCACCCCTGTTAACTTAGAGGTGATCAATCTTCATTTGAGCCAAACAGACCATCACAGAAAACACTGTGCCTGTTTATCTTTATTATTGAGGCTTTGTTTCCTCTTTGTCTGGATACATTTCAAATAAGGGGTTGTTTCAGTCGTTGAAGCAAAAGAACAATTAAAGATGGGGAAATGGTAAAAGGGTATTCAGAGATCATCACTAGCTCTTTTCCAAAATGTGGAGTTTTGTGGTCATAAATATTGTCCACCTAATGAGCAAAAAATAAAAATAAAAAAAAAACAGGAAGCAAATGTTAAGCTTTCATTCACCACTGTCAGTATTAACGCAAGCTTTAAAAAATAGCACTATCAGAAAAGGATACTAAAGGAGAATTGACTAGAAAAGAATTGTGGAAAATGGAAACGAATATTGATCACTTAACTAGATTTTGAGGTTATCAGTAGACAGTGACCTTGCAGTACAGCTATAGTTGTTGGATTTAAAATTTAGGACAAGTATTTTAAAGCTTCAAAGTAGTGCTTTTTTTTGTTAAAAATCTGTAAGATGTTTTAATGACTGGAGTGTTCTCTTTGAATTTGAGGTTATGATGACAGAGAAAATGATCTCTTCCTCTGTGACACCAACACCTGTAAATTTGATGGGGAATGTTTAAGAATTGGAGACACTGTGACTTGCGTCTGTCAGTTCAAGGTAAGAAGTCTTATATTTGCATCTTCTAATTCATTAATGAGACTGCAAAGCAGGAATCTTCCTTTACAGCCTATCACTTGGAAATTTATAGCTATGCAAGCTAAGAGGGAAGCTGGCACCAAGCAAAAGTACTAGCAAGAGAGCCAACTGATGTCAAGAAGACATACGCTTTTTGGAGAAATGTATATGCCAAAGTTATAAATGCTGCTGGAGGTAGAAAGCTTCAGGTTGTGCTTTTGGGATGTCAAAGGAAAATTATGTTTCTCTGACCCTTCTAGCATCACTTTAAAAGTGAATTGACTGGGGATAATAGTCAAAATAGGGGGTAAGAAGTGTGGACTTATTCTTTTGTTCTTTTTGATTGGGGCTATCATCTTTTTATCTTATTGCTATCTGTTTTAATGGTCTTGGCCTTTATTATCCTTGCAACCTGACTAGGTTTTTAAGGTAACTCCTTATTAGTGTAACCTCAACACTTTGTTCTAATTTGGAAATCATGGAACTTATTAATTAGTGTATATCAGCTTTTTCATAGATACCACACTCAATTAGAACTGAATCCCCTAGGAATCCAGAAGAGCATTTAGATCCACAAGTCATTTTATGAACATCAGGAAATGTACTTTTTCTTGTGTTAATTTCTTTTAACTAACAAAGAGAGAAAGAAGTTGCACTACTGGCATGATCAAAACTGGGTTATTAGTATCTATTAAAGATAGAACTTTTAGTGTCATTAGTATAGTCATTAGCTAACAAATGCTTTCCACCATGTAAGTTATAAAACTTTTCCTCTCAAAGTGTTCATATAATCATGCAGAACTTCAAGTAGCATGGATGTTGTACTAATAGCCTATATTTGCCCTTGAGTATTTTAAGTTACTTTTAAAAATACTTTTAAAATCTGACAATATGACTCAACCAGGAAATATGCACATAAACAAAACTGTATGTGAGATAATGAAAACTTTTCTAAGATTGTAAGAATAAAAATGATATAGAACAAATAAAAACAATAAACTCAAATTTAGACCTAGATATCTGGTTAATAAGTAATATTTAGAATTATTGATGAAATTTAAATATTTTAGATGGAATTCAACCTCCCACTAAGAAAGAGAAGAGAATTCACATTTAAATAAAGTTTAAGTGGCTTTTAGAAATGCTAAAACCTTCTTAGACATTATTTTATTCTTTCTAAGAAACATAATAAGACAACTGATATTTGTAAAGTGCACCACCTCCTGGTGGGTAAGTAGTGCTCTGACTGTACAGTTTTTTAGACCATACCATAGTGTCAGAAACATATTCTTGCATATTTAATATGCATGTAACGTCAACTTCTAAGGTCTGCAGCCACATTAAACAGTGCCATTATGTACTTCCAATGAACTACATGAGAGAGATAGAGTATGAGAACTCCCCAATTCATACTTACCCAAATGTTAACTAAACAGGAAAAAAGCACAGTTGGATAAATCATTAATTAAAGTCCCAGAGAATTTTGTGAATTTTTTCCTTCTTTCCCTTTGTGATTTCCATAAATTTGTCTTATTTTCATAACCATGGGTAGACAAAAGCAATGAACTCATAAAAAGTATCAAATGAACCAGGAAAAACATTCCTGAAATGTAAAGCCATGGTTCTAAGATTTCACCAGGAGAAAAAAAAAAGGGGTTGACAGAACTCTAAAGGGATGAATGCTACGAAATGAAAATAAATAATTTTCTTATTAAAGGAATTGTTTTCATTTTATAGGTGCCACAGAAGATTTTGGTAAAACTTTTATCAACAAAAATATTTGTGTTTTTCATACATTGGCCAGTCATGTTTGTCATTAATTTAAATAATCGTTAAGTGGAATAGATGGGGGAGTGGAAACGAATGCAAGTCTGTGTAAGAAACTAAAATGTAAATTGTTTTTTTGTAATCCTTGTGGCATTTTAAATGTACTAGTGTACTACTACTGCTATTAGTTTGTGCTTTGCAATAGTTGTCAATCTGGCAAGAAAAAATAAACATCTCCCTAGTGGAAAATGTAGACTTTGCACATACCAAGAATATAGAGTGGCTGAATTAAGTTGAAAATCAAAGAAAAGTATAAGTTGCATGAAGAATAATAAATAGGATATTTTAAGCTAAGAGTCTCTTGAGTCCATCTTTTCCCAATACATGAATTTGAGTTTTTGGTGTTTGTTATTTTAGCCCTAGTATCTGATAAAAAGGGAGAGGTATTGAAAATCTATTTTCCTATATATTATCCTAAACTTCTGTTTCTTTCTCTGCTGCCTTTTCAGGTACAAGCGTGCATTCCTTTTTTTTTTTTTGGAATTTTTGGAGACAAGGGTCTTGCTCTGCCACCCAGGCTGGATAGTGGTGATGCCCTCTTGGCTCACTGCAACCTCCACCTCCTGGGTCCCAGCAATTCTTGTGCCTCAGCCTCCCGAGTAGCTGGGAATACAGGTGCACTCCATCATTCTCAGCTAATTTTTTTGAATTTTAGTAGACACACGGTTTCACCACGTTACCCAGGCTGGTCTCAAACTCCTGCCCTCAGGAGATCCACCCGCCTCGGTCTCCCAAAGTGCTAGGATTACAGGTGTGAGCCACCACACCCAGCCTGCAATCTATAGTCTTTCTAGCTGAGAGATAAATTTCAAAGAGAAATGGGCATATATTTTTATACCTATAATGTTTTCAATTTGCCTTATCACTGGAACACTAAAGTAAACATTATTAGCCTTCACCTCTCTTAGACGATTTTAAATAAACTGATTTCTGTCCTTCAAACATATTATCTCATTTATTTCTCACAACCCGGTGAGATAATTGTTTTCTCCCCCCTTTTTTAAACTTTTATTTTAGGTTTTGGGGTACATGTGAAGGTTTATTACATATGTAAACATGTGTCACGGGGGTTTGTCGTACATATCATTTCATCACCCAGGTATTAAGCCCAGTAATTATGAGGATGAAAATTTGGAGACAGTAGATGGACAGATAGATAGATAGATAGATAGATAGATAGATAGATAGATAGATAGATAGATAGATAGAAAAGCGGGGAGGAAGGAAGGGAGGGAGGCAGAGAGGGAGGAAAAAAGGAAGGGAGATGCATGCAGATATTTATAGATAACCCTGGTCATGCAGTGATCAATAACCACTTTATAATTTAAAAATATGATGAAGCCTTATGTTTTTCAGGTATTACCTAATTCAGATACTAAATGTTTTTATTTAATAAGTCGTGCTTTAGATCTACAAATGTTCTTATTAGTAAAGCTGCGTAACAGACTGCCCAGTACTTAGTGTCTTAAGACAATGAATATTTATTTTGTTGATGAATCTGCCATTTTGGTAGGGCTTAATCGAAACAGCTCACCTCTGCTCTCTTTGGCATTAGCTGATGGTGAGGGGAGGGAATTCAAAGGCTTGGTGCTATACCGATCTGAGGGTTCTCACTCATATGTCTGACTGTCAGCTGAAGACCTTGGTTCTTCTCCATGTTGATCTCTTTGCACGGGCAAGTTTTGTCTTCCTCATAGCATAGTGGCTGAGTTTCAAAGTCAAGCATCCAGAGAGAAAGAAAGAGCCAGGTAGAAGCTATATCCGTTAATGACCTAGCCTGGGAAGGCACACAGAGTCATTTCCACCATAGTCACAGGCCTGTCCGCTCTTAAAATCATAATTTTTTTACATTTAAGGAAATATAAATCACAGAAAAGTAAAAATTACTTATGGAATGGCCAAAGGATTGGAACATATGCAGATTTTTTTAATCTTTTTTCCCTTTTGGAAGAAAAATATACCATATCCCAAGCCATTCTTCTTAAGCCTTTGACAACTGGGAATATAACAGAATTGACTTAACATCTGTTGAGCACCTTCTACATGCCAGACTCTGTGGAAGGTGCTGGCAATATATAAAACATAAGTCATACATAAGCTTCTAGATGCTGAAATCTCAGCTCAAAAAACCTGTATTAATCAAACAAGCAATAAATCCCATGAAAAACTTCTCACATAATGTTTATTAATTTGTAGCAAAAATGAATTTCATGCATTCTAGTGTGCCAAGTAATTGAATCCACTAGTGTGGTGGGTAGCCCATTTTGGAACAGAATTCTTCTACTGAAAAACACTTATTTGGAAAATAAACATAAGATTTTTAAAACATAGAAAAATAGAATCACTTTCTCCCCTGAGAGGAAGTTTGTACAACACATACGTTTATGGACCTAACCATCTGAACTTGAGTCTTGTTTTTCCTCTTACCAGGCAACTGTGTGGTCTTTAGCAGGTCACTTAACATCTGAGTCCGTCCCTTCATCTGAAACTGAGCAGTATCATGAATACTACTAAAAACTATTTCCAATAATTTGGCATATTTTAATGCAGTAGTTAGGCTATTTCATGCTTAGGGTTAGCCTGTTTCCTCTTGTTTTTCTAATTCTAGAAACACCATGGCTTGATGTTAGAGTTAGATGATAACTCTACTAGTTAAAATACATATCATACAAAGCAAATAATTTACATGTCTTTGTATAAGTGAGTATTACAAGATATTTCTTGTTTTAAAAACATGACTTTGTTAATTTCCCAAAAGTTCCAGGTAAGCATTTCAAATGGGAAAACTAGGCTATAAACCTGTTAAATATTTCATTGTTAACTAATATACAAAAGGTCCTACACCAAGACAGTGAAAGAGATAGGACAACTTAGGACTAGACTCCCACTCGTGAGCTTTCATGATTTACAGCGTGCTTCCTTCTGGTGTTCTTCATATTAATAAGTGCAAGTCTTGATACTAAGGGCCAAAAACATCATGCCAGTAATCTACAGTTAAGCTCTTTTCAGCTCTGTAGAAATCTCCCTTTTGGCTTGTGCATGGAACTTGGCAGCTCTGTTTTTAGAACTGTTCGAATTTGGCTTACTGCATCCCTCAGAAGCGGCATATGAGCACTTTATCAGTTTATTCGATATTTTAAGATGCATATCAGCATTGTGTACTAGCACTTGGGAGAGATAATAAATACTTTCCACTCTCCACTCCCAGTTCACTGACTTTATATTTGAGTAATCTGAGAAGGATAAATAAATAAAATTTAAGGATCGGAGAGAAGAAAACACGGACCCAAATAATCTACATACAAAGTATTATAAGCAGGGATGGAGATGGAGATTGAAAGGTAGCCCGGGGCAAGAATACCAGGCCTCAAGCATGAGATGTTAACTAGTCCAGCTAGCCATAGACACATTATGACTCTCTTCTGTCTACTGAAAGGATCGGCAAGTCTATCGATCATTATGTCACCAGCTGTTTCCTTCTTTCTTGTCTCTCCTCCACGTGCTCAGACACCACTGTAGTGTTCATAGATCAACATAATCCTACCTACATTCTCCTGTCCCTGGTTCTGATCATAGCACATTTATCAAGCACCTATCCCTGCACTTGCCTTGCTGGCCACAGTTCTGGCATGAGCACAAGCCACATTTATTTGTGGTCTCTTCCGTACTACTCATTGGAAAATTCAAATCTTACAGGCATTTTGCTCCTGCCTTCTTTCTTGGATGGTAGTGGAGATGCTCAGGCCTGTGGTGAGTCAGTTTTCAGATGTAAATTAAAACAAATTTTTGGAAAGCTCCTGGAAAACAGTGCTTACACAGGTATCACCTAATCAGAAGTCAGTTTCTGATTGAGTTAAACATTAGCAAAAGATTAGTGAAAAGCTCTAATCAAATCAGTTTTTTAAATATAATCACATACATAGACTGAGTCTGGGAGACAAAAATGCAACTGTGGAAAAGAATTACTATATAGAGGACTTGCAGAATATCTAGATTATATATTGTAGAAATTAAGATAAAGAATATTTATAAAATATGTGCTAAAGCATCCTGTTAGTAATTATGGTCATCTTAATATGACTGTCATACCATTTGGGTTTACTGTTTGGAAAAAAGTTGATCACAATTACCAAAACATTATATTTAAGTTGTTAATAATATATGAAAAAGTAAAACTTATAGAATTAGGCTTTCATTTCAAAGAACATTGACATTTAAATTTGTTATGATAATTAAGCTATTATTATATAAAGGCAAAGAGCAAGAGTTAAATAGTTGATTAGGAATAAGGAGGTTTAGGTATTGTTAGGAAATAGAGTAAAATAATAAATTTCAGGTTTTAATCAATCAGATTATCAACATGTTGAGAGGTGTTTTCTTTTGCATACATTCTTGAGTTGAGGTTTATTTATGATAGGGTTTTAGGTTTGTTATCACATATATTTAAACTTTACTACCCATCTCACTGTATTATTGGTTTATTTTGTATGTATTCTGAACTCACAGCACATCAAAGATTCAAATATATTAATCAAAAGTAAAACATAGAGTTTTTAACATGCATCTGTAAGTATGATTTTCCTTACTTAGTTTCTGGCATAGGTGAGCATATACAGATAATAATCTTGATCATTATATTTTTTATAATTAAACAATGAAGCACATAAGTAGTAGTAATCATGAGATAATCACATCCCTGGTGTAATTAGCAGGCATAGAACAAAGCCAAGTATCATTAATGCCTTAGAGTATGATTATATTATGATGACTATACCCTGTTGGTTGCCTTAATTTTCACTGTAATATGTGTACTTTTTTAATAATGAGGTTTTTTAAAAATGAACTTTTCTCTTTATGGAATATCTATTAATAGACATACTTTGGAATAGTCGGTAAAGTTTACTTATAGTTCAGTAGTTGTTGAAATTTTTCTCTGAGTTCCATAGTTTTGCTTCTCTCTAGACCATATCCACATCAATATACAATAGTCTAAAGAGGTATAAAAATAAGTAAATCAGTATCTTATCTGACTATTTGGAAATTTACAAGGACTAGAATTCAATAAAAATTCAATTAAATTCAATTAAAAAAACAACTAAGAGTTAATTGATTTCTTTGGCATTTTGGCTATATATTTCCACTCCTAGCACAGATAGACATTACCTTTGTTTTTTAATAGCTTGAAATTAAACTGTATTTTAATTTTTTCCATCAAGTCATATGGGCTACATACTAAAAATAATATTAAGTAGCATTAATATATTTATTCCTATATCTTTATTGTGCTACTTGTCCAGTCACTTTGTTGGGAATTGCCTGATCAATTTAGATGCTTATTTTTGCCCTATCTAAATCAAATGACTGGTTGGCTAACTTGAAATTGGCTTTGTGCATCTTTCAATGATGCCCTTATAAAGACTTATTGGACACAATTAGAATCATTGAAAATGAAGACAAGTGGTTTCTTTTGTAAATGATTATTTCTGTTCATCGTGTCAGAGGGATACAATCTCCAGTACTAACTATAGGCTTACATCTGTGTGTTTCCCAGTGCAACAATGACTATGTGCCTGTGTGTGGCTCCAATGGGGAGAGCTACCAGAATGAGTGTTACCTGCGACAGGCTGCATGCAAACAGCAGAGTGAGATACTTGTGGTGTCAGAAGGATCATGTGCCACAGGTATGTGTGTGATCTTCTTTGAAACCTTCTGCATGGATTCCAAATCCAAAAACCATGTCTTTCATTTCTTGTTATCTCCCAATAAATAATTCAGATTATATGTTGACTAGACAAGCCGTATTGTTTTGTTCAAAACATTTGTTATTCTTATTCTTTGTCATTTTTACATTTCAAATCACTTTTGGAAGAAAGAGGATATCTACCATAAGGACACTGGTAGATTTAAGTACGTATGTCATTAAATGAAATACAGGCAGGTTGAATAAAAGCCACATATAATTAGAAATCTAGATAGACTGCCAACGTGCCAAATATGGAGAAACCTGACTATGTATGAATACAGTTGTATTGTTTATTTGTGTTTGTTTGTTTTGAACAATAGCATTATCTGCTGGAAGGCAATCTTGCAGGTTTGGGCTCTGAAGTTGACGTCTAATCTTAGCAGCTCTACAAAATGGTCTTCTTACTATTTAGTAGATTTTATTGACTAATGTGTTTGTAATGGACATAATTTCTAGTGACATTTGTCATTTCTGACTCAATTAACCTGGGATTCTACAAAGTTTTTTAGTCATGGCTTACCAACAATGCTATAAAGGAAGTAAGAAGAAAGAGTGACTTCATGTGCTCTGTAGCTTTTCAAATTTTCCTTGTGTCTACAGTGGTTGTTAGAGCTTATGCTTTAAAATGGGGAATGCTTTAAAATGGGGCTGAGTTTTCAAGTTAAGCTTGATATCAAAATCACATATATTGTAGAGGCTGTAAGGTGCCATAATAGTTGTTCTTAATGGCAAATAAGCATCTTTCTGGAAAGTCATAATTCCTGAGAATTTGGATGATATAAGCATATTCAGGAATAATAACAACGTCATCAATTATAAACTTTCTCTAAAAATAGAAGCAGAGAATAGTGTCATGAAAAGTCTATTTATTCAAAAGTCCCTCTTAGATAACAGGTATTTCTAATCTAGTGTATGATGTTAAAAGTTATGTGCTAAGTGACTGGGGCAGGGTGGAAAATGAGCAAAGAGAAAAGCCTCATATTCTTTAAAAGATTATCTTAAGCATATTGATTGTTAGTAATTGATAATACTAAGTTATACTGGTGACTACCCAAGTTTCTGAGAATTAGCAGAAGAAAGAGAATAGAATCATATCTCATGGCCAATGATGTTTTGTTTTGGTTTTGGTTTGTAAGTAGTCTTTTCTCCTAAGGGATTATTTGCTCAGATGTGAATGTTCTTCATGAAAGGGTGGTCAGGAGGCAAGCTGGGCTGGTACTCCATTTGTTTATTTGCTAAAGCAAACAGGTCATTGCTGCTTGGTCTGTGAGTGACAAGTCATGAATAAAAGAAACAGCAATATGTGAGAGTCAATGGGCAGCCTTCTCCAATAGGAAAGGAGGAGGACCAGCATGCTGCTCTCATACTAAGGATGGGGGATATAGAAAGTTTGACAAGGAGCAAACTAATTATGAGGAATCAGTCAGCCATACCAAAGAAATGAGAAATAGTACTTTAGGACAAATTGAATAGAAAAAAAGTAAAATCCCAGGAACCAGGAAGGATGAAGGCAAATACCGTAGAGTATTGAGGAAAGGATTTGCTTTTTCAAGATCAAGATCATGGAGGATATCTGTTCTTTTCTAACAATAGCCACATGAGAATTGCCAGGCAATTGTTATAATAAACAGACCAGAAGTTACGGTTATGGCCAATGTAGCAAAATCTCTCTTTCTTACTTGCCAACCTCCAAGTTCTTGTCAGCGCATATAATCACATTCTCCTGATTCATTCAAGTCTTTCCATTCTAGTCCCTGATGTGCTGGTTATACTATGAAAATAAATACTTAGCCAAGTAGAAAATTTAATCACAATCGAGTAATCCATCTTTAGCTCATTCACATACTTAGATTTCTACAGGATTTAATTAGTAAGCCAGTCTTGCTGAATGCATCTTCCATGGACTTGTAAATCTAAAAGGTTTTTGATCTGAATAATGACGGAGAGAACAAAGTAATTTTGATTAACCAGGTCTGACTGTAAATAAATTGGGGTTCTGACTTTTGATCTAAAAGGGATTCTCATTCTTTTCTTTGTATATTTCCCATTTATTTTTTAATGCTGTTTGACACTGAATGGAAGTGGCAAGTTGTAAGCTCTAGGAATAATAGGCAGTAGAAGATATAACTTTATATTTATTATATTTCATTGAACTTAATTTTTTTTTGTCCAGAGAATGGACTCTTATTGTGAAATCTGCTCAATGGTCTTACCGTCAATTTAACTTTTTGCCTTGTAGGAAATGCATTAACTAGGAGCTCAGATTTAGGTCTAACAGCATGACTTCTTTTCTTAGGTGTTTCTGTCTTACTAATAAGACTTTAGTAGGCTATTTATCATCAGTTGGCCAGGATGACTTATCATATAATAAAGGAAAATCATTAAAGCCTCCCATAATGATTTCATAATGATGCCATGGACTTAAGTGATCATTTTTCTAAACTATTCCTTCTTTTTTTTCCTGGCTGTTTCATTTGTGTCAAATCAAATATTGTCTTAAGGACCATGCCCCTTGAAGTTTTAGAAATGCATGTGGGAAATACAAGCTAAAATGCTATTGGCATTTTTTTCTGATTTTCCCCAGTCATATGTATTTATTAGAATACTCGTAGATGAATAGGCAAGATGTTTACTGTACATTTTAATTATTATGTTCCTGACAGTGCTTAAGCATTTAATATATGCTACTGTGCAGTAAGCCTCAAAATAGCCCAATCGGTTAGATATTACTGTACCCATTGAATAGAGGAGGAATATGCTTAGCAAGGTTGAATAACATTTCTCTGTCATGCAATGAGTAAGGTTTGGAGTTTGTAACTCCTAAGCCTTTATGCATTTCCCATTATGTTCATATAAGTGTAGAGTGATGAACAACACATTTTCCTTGACTTAAAGAAGTTTATAGGGGAAAATTTAAAAGAAACTATATACATTTAACTAAAATATATTTAGAATGTGTTATCACTGTAATACCACAGTCTGTTATTTAGCCCTGAATGAGTATAAGTAATACTGAATTAAACTTTCAAATTAATGCAAATACAATCAATTAAAATTTTTGTCTGTGAAAGTATACAAAAAGCACCCAAGCACTGTTCTGTCCAAAAGAGATGGTGTTGTGACTTATGACAGTCAGTTTAGTTGGTAGGAATATTCTAATATCAACATGAATTCATCAGTCTTTCTTGGTCTATTATCATTAAACAGTCAATTCTTATGATTAAAATCCTTGTTTGATTCTACATTTACTAAGAATAATTTTTATCATAAATTATTTTACCAATTAACTTGCCTTTAAGGAAAAGATATGCTGATCCAAAGACATATGTCCTGTCACATTAATAGTTAATTGATTACTTGACATTCTAATATAATAGTATTAGACCCTATAAATTTAGTTAATGTGGGCCTCCAACAAGACTGACAGTTCAAACTACTGCTCCTTCATGGTACTGCTAATGCCAATACATGACAAACAGGAGGGCTGCTGGGAAGGCCTTCCTTCTTCCATATTTGTCAGCCTTCTGTGGATTTTCAAACACCATGCCTCTTTCTATGTGGTGTTTCTCAATAAAGTATCATGGAAGCAAACAAGTAAAAGTCATGTTTTATTTTAATTGGACCGTAAATTCTTAAGAGTGGCATTTGGTATAAGTCTTGAACCCTGGGTGAGATTTCACTGTGGAATAAGGGCACATCAGGCAGAGAATATCAATATTAATCTTATTTCCCTGTATTAACATTAAAATACATAACCAAATGTATTGTGAACAAACAAAAATGGAAAGTCAGAAGGAAGATGATGTCTACACTTAAGAAGCAGAAGCAGATGGAATCGTAATGGTTTTGATTTCAACTTGAAATTTTGTGTGTTTCTGGGAACTACCTTCCCAGAAATAGACAACTTTGACCAATTGTAATTAAAGGAAGGAAGGGGAGAGAAGAAGTGGTGAAAGAAAAATCCAGAAGAGGAAGTATGATTTTTTCTGCAAGAATCATTTAGTGAATATCTGACTTTAAGCACAAAGGCAAAAATTAAGCTGTCTTCTACTGACTTCAAAAACAAAGGATGATTTGACACAGATGGAATCATCCACAATTGTGGTATTCGTAAAACATATCAACACCCATATAAAATATATTTCTTTTTAAACTGCTTTTCTCTTTGTTCATATGCAATTTGCAAGAATACAAGCCTTAATTATGGGTTTATTTGCCACACGCATTAGACTATTTAATTTCTGAAACTTACTGATTGTTACAAGCATCTCATTTTTAATACTTTATTTTGCTAATGGCACCAAATCCAGCCTGTCAAGATTAGGAATTTTTCATAGCCGAGATTAGGAAATTTTCCAAACGGGGCAATAATGTTTTCGTAAAGCTCTGGAATAAAAATGATGGATAATTTATTATAGAAGTTACATTAATAGATATTAAATTAAATTGATGTGAATGTACGTTTTTGGATTAAATATTAGTATTTTTCTCAAACAATATTATTGCAGTATTAAACTAAGAAAATAAACTTGAGCTTAAAAAGTCATAAATATTTTTGAATATGTTTTACTAGCAAATATAACTTTTCCCCCCACAGATGCAGGATCAGGATCTGGAGATGGAGGTAGGAGTTGCCTTTTTACATATTTGAAGATTTACTGGTGGATATTATTATGTATATTTACTTATGTATGTTCCATTTCAGATATTTAAGACAAATTTCATATTTTGCATTTTAGGAAAGGTGAAACCATAAAAAATTGTCACCATATTAAGTACATGTATATACCGTGCAAATTATTTGGCATACTTATGAATCATACTCTATCTCCAGTTAACCTTCCTTGTTCATTTGTTTGTTTGTTTGTTTGTAAGTTATCTTTGATATGGATAGGCATAATGTAAAAACTTCTGAAGAGAAGCATGTAAGCATATTTGGCAGGGAAGAAAGAATTCATGAGGAAATCATTTAAATATTGGATTTTTAAATATATGACACTGCTCTCAATTACTAGGTGCTAATAAGACATACATAACCTACCATATAGCCAAGGTTTTAATTATCAGATTTATAATTTGAAACTGAAGGAACTTTAGTTCATAAAAGTGAAAAAGATAAAATGAAGTCCAATGAAAGTAAAATATTATCTTTGCTTCCTTGATTAAATCTATAGTTATTTTTACTAAAGTATGATATATGTTCCCATTATTTAGTTTTGTTTAGGGAAGTATATAAGATGAGAGAGAGAGAGAGAGAAACTTTAAAAGTTTGATCTAATGTACTTACTACCAAATAAAGATTTTACCTATAGATTGAAACTAAATTGTAAATGTCCCAAATACTTTTCCCGATGAAATTCAAACAAAATTAGACTTTTATACACACAAAGCAAAACAAAACACAACCTATATATAATTTCAAGATTAAGAAAAACAAAACAAATAAAAGCATTCTCTCAAGACCTTGCTTCAGTTGTGTAAAATAATTAAATGTGCTATTCCAAGTTGATTTTAGTTTTTAAATACAGAATTTGATAAAAGATAAGTAAAAGAAGGCCTTGGGTTCAGGGTGGCAGATATTTAGTGCACCCTTTATCTAGTTCAGGAAACACTTGAAAGATTTATCAAGTTTCCTTATGTAATGAAAGACTTAACTAGTTCAAATAAGCAATACCCACAGAACATAATTAGAGCAGCATATTGGAGCACAATTTTTTTTTCATAAAGACTAAAACTGAACAGCAGCAGATTGAAACACAATTTTTTTCCTAAAGACTAAAACTGAACAGCAGTCAAGACTCAAGCATAGAATATGTTTCAATGTCCCATGATGTTGGACAGTCCTTTGATGTCTGGACAGTCTTTCTCTACTTCTAATAAAAGTTTTCCTAGCTGATTAATATAGTATTCCCAAGAAAGCGTCCCTAGAGGTTTTGAAAATAAGACCTTAGAATAGCATATTAAATCTTAAAGAAAAAAAAAAGACAGGAAAAAAGGCAGTTCCTTTAGTAGATGTTTTACCATGGGAATATTATTAATAAGAAATCAATTAATTTTTTAAAATGTTGCTTTTGTAAGGAAACAGTTTCTATGCAAAATTCTGTATATTTTCTAGCTGTTTAGTTTTATATGTAGACTACCTAATTTTGCAAATATTGTGCTGAGACTGAACTGTTCCACTGTTTACCCACCAGTCTTGTTAATTTTCTAGCATCTTTAAAGACAAAATAAAACATACCAAGAATGTCTTCATTTCTCTTTCTGTTAAAGCATCATCATTTACTTTTTTCTGCTTGACTATCCTACCATACTGTACTTCATATCTTTATTTTTCTAACAATAAGATGTGAACTTTGTTTCACATACTAGTTTCTAGTTTTCATTCATTGTTATTAGCACATGCAAATGGAAATGAAGTCAAACTCACTCTTCCCTGTTGCGTTTTATATTAAAATCTTTGGTTCATTATGTTGTCTTGTGATCTGAATAAGACATTTTTTCAGGAAATAATTTTAATCTCATGAATATGACATGTATAACTTATACCATATAAGTGAAACATCACTTGGAAAACACTTTATTTTCTTTCTCTTTTTCTGTTTTTTAATCACTCTTCCTTTCAGTTAGAGGTGCTTCATAGTAACTTGGAGAAAACAAAAACAACTTCCGATGTTTGCTTTAGAAAAAAAAAGCATATAACACATTTAATTCTGAGCTTATTCTTTTAAATAACTGCAGTTCTGAAAATTGTGGTGATGAGTATTTGCTCCTAATTGCATACAATTTTTAAAATTAGAGACTGATCAGGTTTTTCTCAACAGAACTGCTTGTTTTTCTAGTCTACATGTTACTTTGGTCTGTAAGACTATTAGTTTTAATTTTCTTTAAATTCTTTATTGAGGGATGCCAAAAATGCTTAGTAACTAAAACCTAAAAACCTAGTTTAGAATAACTTGCACAAATTCAGTTCACATATCCATTGGGTTGTAATCGTAAGATATATTTGACTTGCTATCTCTCTTATACAGATGATAGACTTTCCTCTGTATTTTTGTAGAATTCGTATTACCAAGGTTTTGAGAGGGCAGAATCAGCTTCCTTCATTTTTGAATAAAGCAAAAGTGATTGAATAACTTGTGATTGTTTGGCTAATCCAACAATTGTAACTAGTGATTGTTCTAACTAATCTCTATATAACATATTCTCAGTAATGTGTATTTAATTAATAATTGGGTTTACTTGGCAAGCACTTTGGATGGTTAATAGTTATTTTCTAATTTCTTATTTTAACAAAAGTTAATATAATTCCAAAATGGAGTACACTGAACAAAAGAGTGAAGGGAACAAATTTACTTGTAAAACATTTATCATGTGTGACTATCATAAATGATATCATTAAACTTACAAATCTAAAATCATGTAAAAATATATCAAATATTACTTTTTAAAAATTTTCCTATATTTTAGCGTGAATGAATATTACATTAGTAATGAAAATTAGACCTGATTATTCTAAAAATAATTTAAGCTTAACCCATTTGCACAAGGGTATGTCTGTCATTTACTGCATTTGAGAGAACATTTTTACTGCAATATAAAAGGGACATAAAGGTTTTATAAAATTTATTTTAACTTGTTATTGTACATTTTATAGGGAGTTCTAAAATCTTCAACCATTGACCTATTTATTCAGCTGAAACAATTCAAACAGTTAACTGTATTGAGATAAAACACATTTACTGTGCTTCCAACATGACCCACAAAGATGCATTCTCTCCTAAAGGAAATTTGTAGAGTAATAAGATACAAATACTTCATACAAATCTTAATGTTTGGCTGTCGCATTTCGCTGACTGTATCCTCTTCTTTTAGTGTTTAAGAAAACTCATTAATACAAAAGATAATTTTGTATTATTAGTTTTGAACATAGGACCCGCCATTTATGGAACTCTGTTTTCGAACAAAAACGTTTGTTTTGAAAGGCATCTACATCAAATAAACTTGTTGGATAGATTCACACCTGACAAAAAAAAATTCAAGATAAACTACAACTGTGAATTGTGCTATAGGGAGGTAATATGTGGTCCAAATTCCAAAGAATTTGAGAAAGTGATAGAAAGAAAACGATTGGTGTTTCAGGTACTTATATATGGAAGTTTAATGTTGTAAATAAGAAAACGGGTGTGTGTAGGAGGGATAATAACCTCTTATCCACCCACAGACTTCCTTAAGCAACAAATACTGCAGGAAGAAAAAGTATTAAAGGTGCCTCCTCTCAAAATTCAGAGGTGTGTGGGTGGTTAAAGAATAATTTTTAACCCCTGCTTTTCTCTATAAGTCTTTCAGTCATATTATAAAGACAATGCTATGAATATCTCCATTACTGTTTTTTTTAAATATTTATGTATTGCTTAGATCTTTGTTAGATTCTGAAAAATAAATAAGTCTGGTGAAATTAAAACCATATTTTAACTATCAAAATAATTATAAATGTATTATCCTGCTGTACATGAGCAGAATCCACAGTTAAATTTTAATATCATCTTATGGGAAGTTGTATGATAATGTTTATAGAAATAAAATGTATCTAAGATACACAGCATAGATACAATAAGTATATTTTTATTTCATGAGATAAAAGGAAGCACGGAACTTACTTATACAATTTATATATTTATATACAATTTTAAGATAATTCTTTAATAGGTTATTGTTGGATATGTAGAAGTCAAATTAAATTTATGTTTATTTGTATAAAAAAGCCTTATTTTTATGTGAATTATCCAGATAATTGTTGTTATGATAAATTTGGTGTAGAAAATCAGTTGACATATGGTTTTTATTTAATGAAAAAATTCCAGTACAAATTATTTTCATATAACATTACCAAAGATGTCCATAATTAAGACATTTGCTTCATATACATATTGGATAGAACAAGAAAGGTTTACATGGCAACACATTGTAGATCTTGGGCTGCTATTTCTGATTATGTGAACTGCTAAAAACTGGCAAAAATATTTTAAGCACTTTGAAACATGGAGATAATTTTAAAAAAATCCTTGTCTTTCTAATGTGGATTTTATAATATTTAGTAATTTGGTTGACTTGAAGGAAGGTAGTACTATAACCTAGGTATTTTTGCAAGATTTCTGGGGCTGTAAAGATGAATATGACACAGTTCTTTACACTCATGGAGATTACATGTAAATTCTCTTCTGAGCACACAATGGAAAAAATTATGATTCTAATTATGAAAAGAAAATTATTCCTCTGAAGAAATAAAATGTTAAATATACTGTAAATAACAAGGAATTGAATATTTATTCCATAAAATATGCTTGTAAAAGGCTAAGTAATTTTCCCTTCCATGTTGCTGTACTAATTCCCTCTCCAACCAGCATACCTTTTCCACTTCTCCACTATCATGGTCAAAGTCTGGCAAACACAACATACCTCATCATGGTTGTATGTTTTGTTCCCCCCACCAAGCGCTTGGGCTCACATTACAGCCAAAGTCTGACAGGTGTCAATTGTAAGCAACTTCTGCTGAAATACTGATTTAATAAAGAAATTCTACCAAGCATGACACGTCTGAAATTCTTCCCAGGCAATATATATGGGAAGAAAGCAGAAACTATCCTCTTTTTGCTCTGCCACACCTGAGAGCTGCTGTTCTGCTGGAGATGAGCGTATAGCCATCTGAACTTCAATTGAAATCTTATCTCAGCTCTTCTTAGGTTGAAATCCATCTTACTTTCTCTTTACCTAAAAGAAGAACAGTATAGCAATGGAGTAATGAAATAGAGATAGAATGAATGAGGACCATGTAATGGATAACAAAATTGGAAAAATATAGAAAGCAAACAGAAGGAGGAAAATAAAGTGAGAATGATGGAAAATGAAAAGGGAGGAGAAAGGGACCTTTGTTATCAGCATGGCTATAGTTTGTTTTCACACATGAATACGTTTTTACAAATAAAAATAACTTTTTTTTTCTTCCAGTAGAGCAGTAATAGCTCTCTGAATTTCTGCACATTGCTTAAGAATGTGAAATAGATGCTACAAACTTTTGTCTGAATCATCCATATGGGTTTTTAAAAACTATATATAGGAAAAGAAAGTTAATCATTGTGTGTAGTATGATAGAAATGGCTTTGGATTATGAATCAGGAGATTTGCCTTCTAGATTTTTAGCTGACTTGAAGAATGCCTGTTTGATTTTTGCTCTCAGTTTCCTGGGAGATTCACTTATTTTGTCAGTGAAACAGTAATATGTATCTATAGGAAAGATGATTAAAATTAAGTAATGCAAATAACTTTGAACTCCAAAAAATTCAAAATGAAATTAAAAGAATTTATGTTACCTTTGCTCTTTATTCCCATATACTATAAGAATATAATTTCTCCGAAGGGTTTAATTAGAATTTTGAATCTTTTAATTAGTGATTTTAAGTCCATGGCTTAAAGTATTGATGGTGGGATAGTAATAACTCTAAGAATCCAATACAGTTTCTAGTATTTAGAAGACACAGCTAGCTCTGACTCCTGAAAGCAAGTGGAATCACTGTGTTAATACACATAATAGAAGATAAATGCATCCAGAGGAAATGCAGTTACACAAGATAGGTAAGAAATAAGGAATAATGTTTAAAATTTCAAAACAGTACATAATTATTCTTAAAACTACAGTGGCAGGCATATTGCCTTTATAGAAAACCAATAAAGAAGAAGTAGGAGGGAGTCACAATGTAGGAGATTCTGTATACTTACAAGAAAGAATGTTTGTGAGGGCACTAAGCATTGCAAAATTTTTCTTAGGGGATTAAACTTTTTAGAAAGAGATTCTTTCAAAATTGATGGGAAGATTTTATTACAATTCTGCTTGATGTCAAAATATGAACTAGCTAAATCTATAAGAATCCCTATGTTCATGTATAATGATTTATAAAATGCTGTATAGTTTATAGAAAGCACTATTATAGCATTTATTTTAGTTTTTAATTTTTATGAACACATAATAGTTGTACATATTTGTAAGTACATATAATGTTTAGATATAAGCATGCAATGTATCATGATAAGATCAGGGTAATTGGGGTATCCATCACCTTATGCATTTATTATTTCTTCATGTTAGGAACATTCCTATTGTATTCTTTTAGTTGTTTTGAAATATACAATAAGTCATTGTTAACTATAGTCATCTTGTTGTGCTACCAAACACTAGATCTTATTCCTTCTATTTAACTGTATTTTTGAACCCATTAGCTATCCTGTCTTTATCCCACCCTTTTAAACCACAGCAACAGCTTTTGGATGTGTAGATGAAGATCAGAAAGAATGAGCACTTTATGCAGTAAATATGGTGACTAAGCCAGTCCTTGAACTTCAAGAAGGAAGGAAACTAGTCTGCAAGATTGCCCTACCTCTTGTACTTCTTTGCAACAACTATACCAGACATCATCTTCTATGGTTTATATAAATCATCAATTCTACCAGCAGTCCGATGACATTCTATTATTACATCTCCTCATCCCCTTCCCACTTTAACTTTTGATTCTGAAATCATCTGTTCTACTCAATGTAATTATCTAAGTTAATCACACACCTCAGTCCATGGGACTTAATGATTGCCAACTATTCTATTACTTTTCCCCTTTGTTTATCTAACCCTAATCCCATTCCTGATCTTCTGTAAGTATTCACTCTAAGGTATTTGAGATACTTTAAATCATTGCTAAAAATATATATAGGATAGTTGTGTAAGTAGCAGTAGAAGGTAGTGGTACAAAGCACATATTCTAGAGCTCTAGACTCTGGATATGATCCTGGCTCACCACTTACTAGCCAGGCTACTGGCCAGTACTTACTGTAGCTGCTGATCCTGGACAGGCTACTTAGACTCTATGTTTTTCATTTCTTTACTTGTGACCCTGGCATGGTATGCAGGAAAGTACTCTAAAGTTGAGATTTGTGCACATGAAACTTAGGGATTTGTGCTCTCAGGATCAGAATCTGCAGAAGGGAAGAAAGTAAGATTGGGAAGAGGGTGAATTTGAATTGGTGCAGTTAAAAAAAAAAAGCTACACAGCGTGGCCCATATGAGTTCTCAAGATGGGATGGCCTTTATGAGTTGTCATCAATTGGAAAAGCAGGGCTGAGCTTTTATACCCCACCATTAATCACCATAGATGTGAGCAGTTCCCAAAAGGGAGCATACCGTGGGCCAGGCAGCTCTCTTCAGCTGCAGACTGGACCTGGAGAGGGACTCAACTGTAAGCTATCTGAGTGAAATACTCTAAGTAGCTGAGGAGGGAAGAAGGTGGACATTGCACCATGGTATCCACTAAGATCTGTAAAATATAAAACAACAACAAAATAACAGAATTCTTAACCTTGTAGAACTTATTTCTTGGAAAGAGACATGAGCAGTAAACAAAAAAGGAAAAACACAGATTGTCATATGGTAATGAGTGTGATGCAGCAAGAGGAAAGTGATAGAAGGGAAACGAGAGGTTACTAATTTGGGGTGATCAGGAATGCCTTGGAGAAGGATCAGGAGGGAATGAAGGGGCAAATCCTGCAGATGAGGGAGAGAAGGACATTGCAGGCAAAGGGAACTGCAAATGAGAAAACTCTGAAGCAGATGCATGTCTGGGATATTCCAAGAACATCAAGGATGTTAGTTGGGCTAAAATGAGTGAGAAGATGCTTGGTTGAAGATGTGGAAAAAGAGTGGGAGTGACCCTCAAGGCCAGAAACAGAAAGTTCTTTTTCTGGGTGAGCAGGGAGCCATTGGAAGGGTCTGAAGGAGAGGAGAATGTTGTAATCTGACTGGTGATTTTAGAAGATCACTCTGGCTGCTGTGTTGAGAACATGCCTTGCTGAAGTAAGAGAGTAAGGGAGAAAGCAGGGAGACCTGTGCAATTAAAAGGAAAAAAAAGATAAAGTTTCTTTTCTCTTGTTGTCATTGATTTGGGGATCACAGTATCTCTTGTCTATTTTAGACATTCACTCTGCTACTCATCTGAGGGACTTTGTGTATGGTCCTTTATTGAGTATATTGAGAAAATATCCTAGGTTTTGCTGTAGTCAAATCTATTTTTAATCCTCATAAGGTATTTTTATATTGGGGTTTTATTTAAGATATCCTTCTTCTTTTTGAAATTTTTAATTCCAGATAGTATTTAAGGCATAGGAATGTCTCTGCATGCTGCAGTGCATGCCAAATTGCATTGAATTTGTTTCAAATTTGGATTTGAAAATACAGCTTTTTCTTTCAATGTACTAAATGAACAATACATATTATAGGATATGATTTTCAATGTGTACTTAACAAAGAGCAATTTCATTTTCTCTGGTAAATTACACACTCACTTGTTACAGCTTTGGGATTTTAAAAAATCCAGGAATAAATAGAAAACAATATGTTTAAATAATGTTGGCATCCTGGCTCAATGAGTCAAACCAAAAGAATTATTCCAGTGCCTGTCACTTAGTAAACTAGTTCTGAAAAATCTTTTAATTTTGTGTTCCTTGCTGATCTCTCTCTGAAAAGAATAAAGGGAGAATTAACTGGATTTCAAATAATGTTGGCCTGGTGCTTCCACAAACCTATTCTGCAGATTGGTTATTTAAACTGCATTCATTCCAAATTAAATAATATTTCCTATAAAGTTGAACTTTTTCTCTATTTTCTTCTAATTTTCCAGCTGCATTCTTACTCGTTTCTCCTGTAATTTGTCTGACTGGATTGCTATTCTGTCGTTACCTTCTTTTGGTGAAGGCCACAAACACAAGGAACATATTAGTGGAATCAGTTGGAGAGGGAACCCATTTCTATAATTGCATCTACAAAAAAAAATGGTGTACTCTGCATATATTTGGTCCTGGCAACATTGAGAAGTTTGCATGTTCTTGTGGGCATTGAGATGGTGTGAAAGTCATTACAGATATGCTGACTATCCTCTCCAGAGAACATAGCACTTGCAGAAAAATATGACCTTTGGCAAGTAGAATTTCTGACACACTGATTTAAGTGGTAGTGGTGGCAACTCGTTGAAAGGACATGTGGAGCTATACAGTGTCATCTTTTCTGGCCCCTTTGAGCCTCGTGATATAGTTTGAGATCTAATCCTTAAGGGTTAGAGAGTTTTACAGTGTTGAGAATTTTATTCAGTTACTCAAAAGACAACTGTAATAGCAACTTCAATGTGGTTATCTTTAAAATAGCTGTTATTTTAAAATATAATTAAAGAGAAACACAGCTGGCAGTTTAAAGGAAAAAAAGGAATTAGTAGTACAGTTAAATAGTGCATCTTAAATAGTGGGGTGATATTAAATGGTTATATTCTGGAAGCTCATGCCCACACTGCCTTTGAAGTTCAGGCTGCCCAGCCACATTCAGGCATTGATTCAGGAAACTCCCTTGGCCTTTCAGTAAGAGAGAGCTCCCTTATGCCAGAACTGCTTTGAAATAGAATGTGGCAGAGCTGTAAAGTGGGTCCAATTCTACAAGTCAGCACACTCTGTGGATTTTCCATTGTGAATAGTTCTCAGATCTATATCTTCAGACCCTCCACCAATAGTATATTTCAGCCCTTAGGTATCTCTCATCTATAGCATTGGAAAAAAGCCTCCTAACAGGCCTCCCCAATTCCATACTTGCCTACGTAAAATATTTCTTACTTGCACAGTCAGAATATTTACATAGAATACTTATCTAAGTATATAATTCCCCTACTTGCAATTCAGCAATGGCTGTCCATCATCCTTAGGATAAAAATTAGTCTTCCCAACAGGAGATACAAAGACCACCAGAACTGGTTCAGTTCCTGGCTCTCCATTCACATCATTCATTTTCTCTACCTCAGACTTGACACTCCAGTATAACTTTTTGTTGATAGTAGTTCAGTGGGATAGACCATCAATTGATTGCATACCTCCATGCTTTGCTAATGTTCTTCTATTTATCCAAAACCCTTCCCATGTTTTTGCTTAAACATCATTCATATTCCAAGACTAAAGTCAATGAAAATCTACATCAGGATGATTGTCCTCAATCTTCTGGTTGGACTACATGTCTCTCATCAATTATACTTTGTATCATCAGTCTGATTCATTCAAATAGTCTGTGTATTATATGTGCCTCAGGCTAATGACTATTAATACCTGTATATTAGAAAAGAAAGCCTGGTGCTTAGTAGAATTTTGTTAAATATTTGCTCAGCTGAACCAATGCATTAATACTAACAACAAAAAGTGTGCTTAATTCAGGTGTGATGGCATGTGCTTATAGTCCCAGCTACCGAGGAGGCTGAGGTGGGAGGATCGCTTGAGGCCAGGAGTTAGAGGCAGCAGTATGTTATGATAGTGGCTATAAATAGCAACCGTACTCTAGCCTGGGCAATGTAACAAGACCCCATCTCCAAATAAAACCAAAAATTTAAACAAAAAAATAAAATTTAAAAAGAAAGTGTGCTTAAATTTCTAAATGTTTCCACTCACATTCGCATGCTGCCATTTAAATTATTTGAAATTCTAAATTAAAAGCTGGATATGAATGGTTTTGTGTACTAAAATAACTGTAGAAGTATTTTAACTTCATAAAAGATGACTGAAAACCAGCAACAACAATAAAAAAATAATGGCATGCCAGGAGGAGCCTAGCAAAAATGGTTTGCAAGCTTAGCCTGAGAGTCATCTAATACCAGTATATGAACTTGTGATCTACCTCATTCTCCAAAAGTAGTGTGCAGAAAGAAAAGAATTGAAGATATTTTAGGATTCTAGCTAGTTTGTTTGTAATTGAGGTAATTTTCACCTATATGAATACTCTATTCCACATCCAAATTACTTATTCAAATCCCAAATGACTTTGGCCAGAGAATGTATTATTTGGAATTCCATTTGATGCCTTCATTTAATTTGACATTGAACCAGTTGTGGGGGGTGGGTGGCAGGGGACTGTCTTTTTGGAATATTCAAGGAGTTATAATGATAGTAAATTTATGATAAAGTTCATAAAATTTACTTTAACCATCAAAGCATATTACTTGGAAAATAAAATGCTAGATATTAATTCCTCATATCTAGAAAGTCTCTTACTTTTGTGAGCAAAGAGAATAGAATTCTTTGAGCATTTGACTTTTGAAATACTCAAAGATATATGGAGAGAAAAATGGAGCCTCCATCTGATGCCATGGGGATTCTAGATCAAATGATTTTAGAGTAAGTCACATCACTGTCAGCAGACTGAAAGTAAAGACTCAACCAACAACGTTTCATAGAATTGTGTCTGGCGTGTGCTATGTGCTTGTTAAATACTTGTTAAATTAAGGGATGAATGAATGAACTGTCAGGGAAGTGATGTGAACTGCTAGGAATACAATTAGTTGATGCATGCATCAACACGGAAGCCACTCTTCTACTTCCCAGTAATTGCTAACTATGACCCTCAACTTACTGAGAGTGGGCATAGGAAATGCCATAATACACATCATCTCTGAAGAAACCTGCAAAGTGATTCTGTTTCATCCATTAACTTCAAGCCAGATCTCCTACCCCTGTCCTCATGCTCTTTTATCTCATCTGTTTGCTTCACACATGAAACTTCAGCAATGTAGTAATGCTCTGATCGAATATAAAATGTAAGTGTAGAGGATAAAAAGGAGAACTTGGAAAAAGAAGGTAAAAGAACAAACTAGTGAAGAGAAAAGGACTTTTCTATGCAAAATAACAGAAGGAGAAAGGAGAAAGCAGTGATGTTCAGCATTTTGTAGAAAAGTTTTAATGTTTAAGTAAGGGAAAAAAAGATGGAATTTTAAATAGCTGCAGGCGTGGGTAGGCTGTATTAGTTTTATACATTCTCTTAACATTTCAGTATTAACATATACAATATTTACTAAGTTTATGCATTTCTCCCTTTGATTGTTTCTATACGCCCAACACATGTTTTCAGAAGAAAATAAAGAAAAATGTGTTCCAGGCAGAGATTTTTTTTCCTAACTCCACCACCACATGCATATTTCTCACCCATCTAAAATAGCATTTAATGCTGCCATTAGATATTTTATTAGGAAAAATAGGTTTCGTTCTTGCCAGATAAGACAAAGGTTGAAATCAATGCTTCATTCTGCTGACTAGGAGAATTAGACAGCCTTCTTCTACTCCGGTACTTTTAAAAATGTGTTCTGTGGGACTTGAATGCCTCAAGATGCTATTCTGAAAAGAGTATCCATTTAAGTGAGGTTGATAAAAGCAACATATTTTGATGCCTTTTCAAGAGCCATATATAAGGTGACCAACCAGTGCCAGTTTGCCCAGGATTTTTCTGATTTTAGCACTGAAAAGCTTGTATCCCAGGAAACTCTTCAGTTCTAAAAAACTGTTCTAAAAAATTCATATATATCTTGAAGTAAGAAATATGCTAAATTTTGTTTGAAACGTGTTTTTTAAAAGAATACCTGACAATGAAACATTTTTTCTTAAGCAATAATATTAAAATTCAAAGGGATTAGTCATCTATGATACACACTTTGGGAAACTCTGCCCTAATCCCATCCATTTTTCTCCTGGCCCCTGGAGTCTCTCCATTTTGTTGCCCCGTTTTGCAGGGCATGTGGAGCCTGAGGAATGGTCTAGTATTGTAACTGCTTGAGTTTCCTCCTGAGCCTTAGACTAGAGGTACTTAAAGCCTTAAGCCTGAAATTTAAAATAATTTACATATTGAAAATATTTTTATCACTTTGAAATATTTCTCCTTTCTCAATATCTTTTACAAATATGTACCTGTCTTAATGCAAATCTTTTGGGAATTTCTACAGGAATGTAATACATTGTAAGAAAAATCCCTAAAAAGTCTATATTCCATTTTCCATTACATAATTCTGGATGAGTCTTTGTATATTTTGGGAAGTATGTGTACATTTCAAAGAAGAAAGTCATAAAGAGTTTTGAGGCTGCCATGGTATGGCAACATAGGCATTCCGATAACTCTCTTCTGAGCCCTCTCTGTAAGAACAATTCCCATACCTGAGGGGAGGTAGAAGAACAAGACAAGGAGTAAGAAGCATAAAACGGAAGACAAACAATGTCAATGCTTGGAAAGGGAGAAAAATTCAAATTCACAGCCACTTAGTTTCACTTATTTTTCTTTTCAAATAACCAACAGTTAAAAGTTTCATCTGGCTCAACACACCTATACTCCCACTGCGTCACGAACTAGAAACAGGTGCCTTTTCCTTCACCTGCAAACAGTCATAAAAGGCAAGCCCATTTCAGTGAACACCCGAGGACTGGGCAAATGAATGTATGAAAGGGGATCTACTACACTGAATAATGTTTCAAAAACTGTATTTGTTTCAACTAATTCTGAATTTTTTCTAAATTCAGAGATATTTGTCTAACTTCCTCTAAGTAGTTTTCACCTCTAAATATCTGAGAATTAAAAAGTATGATTTCTGACATTTCTAGCACACAGTATCTACTGCTAATGCTGAGGGAGCATTCTTTTTGACAAAGTCTCTAATTTTTTTTTTTTTTTACCTCGGAGACAAGACTATGCAAAAGAAAAATGCAGTAGTTGCCTACTGTTCCCTGGGGTTATTGGAGAGGAAAGGGAGTGGATGGGAAAGTACTTCAAATAGTATATTACTTTTAGGTATGCTGCTTTCAAAGGGGGTAATTATAGAAACACTGACAAAGACACATCACTGTTGTTTTACAAATTTTATGTGTGTGTGTATTTGTATGACTCACAAAAGTTCATACAGCTTATCTTCTCCCATAATTGATAAGCCCAGTATAACACTCTAGAGACTAAACTATCTTGTTTTAATATACTTATAATGAGTACGTACTATGTGTCAGGCATTTTATAGCCATATGTTAAGTACTTGCTGTAACTCTTCAAGAAAGACATATCACCTCCATTTCTGGGTGAAGAAAATAAGAGACACAGATATTAAGTTATTTATGCAACATCAGGTAGTGTTAGTGGCAAAGCCAGGATTTACACCCAGGCTCCTGGACCTCCAAAGTTTCCCTTTTCTCCACTGTCTTTATGTGTAGTCTGTTATTTTTTAAAGTCAAGGATTTATAACAGAAAATTATAAACTTTCATATTAAAATATGTTAAATATGTTATTTTGGTTAAAAGTAAGGTGTTTCTATTAAGGAGAAATACGGCACTAGTCATAGAAACATCTGTGCTATTTGTTTTGTGTGATGTGTCTTTGGCTTGCTAGTCTCCTGCACATGCAAGTATGTGTGCACAGGTACACACACACACACACACACACACACACACAGTTTTTATTCAGAGTATTCATTCTGCTAGTATGTATTAATAACTTTTATATATTGCTATATTTGTACTCTGAGCATTGATAACATAGCATAATATTATTATACTCTGTGCCAACCATATTTTAGATGCTAGAGATACAGATAAAGTCCCAATTCACAGGAAGCTTAATTCAGAAGAGAAAAAACAGACATGAACCATGCAAATAAATAAGCAAAAACATTTCAGAGTGTGGTTACTTTTTTTTTTTTTTTTTGAGACGAAGTCTCGCTATGTCACCAGGCTGGAGTGCGGTGGCATGATCTTGGCTCACTGCAACCTCCACCTCCCATGTTCAAGCGATTCTCCTGCCTCAGCCTCCTGAGTAGCTGGGATTGCAGGCACATACCACCACGCCCAGCTAATTTTTGTATTTTTAGTAGAGACGGGGTTTCACTATGTTGGCCAGGATGGTCTTGATCTCCTGACCTCGTGATCCACCTGCCTCAGCCTCCCAAAGTGCTGGGATTACAGGCATGAGCCACCGCGCCTGGCCTGTAATTACTTTTAAGAAAGTAAAACAGTGATGTTATGCAAAGTTACTAGGTTTTGTGGTAAGAGTGAGATTTTCACTGAAGCCTTAAGTAGTAGAAAGAACAAGGTACACAAAGATCAGAGGCAGGGCATTCGGAGCAAAGGGAAGAGCACAGGCCAATGCCCTAAGGGATGCCTTAGTGAAATCCAGAAATAGAAGGAAGGTAAGTGCAGCCCGAGCATAGTGAATGAGCAGGAAAGTGGTAGAAGAGGAGAGTAGGGAAGTGGTAAGGAATTTGGAATTTATTCATTGCATCATGGAAAGCCTTTGGAAGACAGTAATATAATCCGGTTTATATTTTCAAAAGATTGCTCTGGCATCTGTGTGGAGAATGAATTGTAGATGAGGCAAGAGTAGGTGCAAAGAAAGCAATAAAAAGATTATTATAGTGGAGCAGGCAAAGAGGATCCTGACCTGAATAATATGGTGGCAACAAAGGTGGTGAGAAGGTGACAGATGTCCTGGGGGCCATGTCTATCCTCATTATTTCCCATTCCTTTCTATATTGTTATTGGTGTGAACAAAAATGTTACATGCCAACGCAAAGAAGGATATGGAAAAGGGAAGAAAAAGAAATAACCCCATCACGTCATTTAGCACTCGCCAAGTTCTCCATGCCCATTTAACATAAATGAATGTGTAGGTTTACTTTTAAGACATGAAAATGTGTCATAAAAAGCATTATTTTAAAAACCAAAGCCCATGCATTGAGCCTACTATATTCATCTAAAGTAATTTTCTCAGACTTTCAAGAGAGAAACAGATTGATGTACTTTTGGGGTTGTTAACTAGTGGCTTTTCAATAAAGCCTGAGTATATTGATGATTTTGTTTTTCACTTACCTTTTAAAATTTATACAATTTAAGTACCATCACTGGTATGGCAGTAAAAAATAAAATATAAAAATAGACAGCTCCATAATTTGGCCTTTAAATGGCTTCACATATTTATATTCTATGTAGGATATGTAACAGATTGTGACAACAGAATCAGATATAATCAAATTGCAGCCTTACAAATATAGCAAATATCATGAAACAGCTCCCTTCTGCTGACTCAAAGAGTGGGAGTTTCATTTCTTTCATTATATTTTTTCTGTAACAGCTTATCACTAGCAACACCTTTGGAGCATTTCTCCTTCTTTGTCAATGTAAATGTCCACACAATAGCGCTTTACCTATATTTGCCATCAATTTTCTCACATTGGATTTTCTACTCTGGAGACAACTAATTTGAGTAACTGGAAATATAAAGCCTATGGCTTCCACCTTCAGTTTCCCAGTTCACAGAGCAATATAGAAAGTCACTTCCAGATGCAGAAAGCCCAAGGCCCACCCATAGACTTTGTTCAGCCTCCGTGGTGCTCCTTAGCTTATTTCTCTAAAGCCTGCAGATTTTCATATGTGGTATTTGGGGAAAATCTTATTATCAATATATAAGCATCACTACAATTAAGCTCTGCTTGTTGTGATGTCTGAATATCAATAAGGACTCCAGTTCATCCTGAGAGTGACAGCCATTTAATTCACTCTGCCTGTCTAATCTTGGGCAAGGATTTAAAAGATGCTGTCAAATATTTGTAAACATGTCGTGCATTTTTCTTTCACAGAGATTCTTTTAAAGTGAGAAGAGTTATTTTCTGTTTTGTCTTGGATTATTGTTTGGTTTTTAAAAGCTCATTTAGCTTTTCCTCTTCTTTAATAGTAAATTGCAATTTTTTTTCCCCCTAAGACTCACAGGAGCTATCCTTCACTGTATTCATGAAGTGGGAGTAGTGCTGTACCAGTAGGGGGCGCTCATATCATACCTATTTTGTGGGTTGGCGAAAAGTAAATTTTGTAGGTTTGTGTAGTTAAGGGTGGAGCTATTTTAACTCTAAAGCCAACAAAGATTATGAGTTGGAATAGAAGTTATTTCCCCCTGTTGAAAAGTTAAACTTTGCTAAAGTTGTAAATCTTCACTATGGTACGAGTTTAAGTGGCTTTTGGTTAATGAAACTGCATGCTGTGGTTGATGTTTTCAGATAGCTTAATGTGGAGAATTTAAAACATATTAAAAGACTTTTTTCCTGATAGGTATTATCAAATTTTTTAATCCATAAATAACAGACACAGCACACTCACCCCTGATTTTAAGGGGTTTCTCATATTTGTTTCATGGCTGTAATTTCATGTAAACATGGCTGATGGTGATGTGAGTAGCAATGGACATAGAGTTCAACTTGTTTTTCTGGTAAGTGTCTCCTAAGTAAGTTTACTTTGGGGTCATTTGCCTTCTTCATTACATTGGCATCAAGTGTAGTCCCAAAGGCATCAAGATCATGATTAGCTAACTTTCACCAACATCAGTAAGGAAGCAGCCTGAGGCATCCTTCTATTCCTTTTTCTTCTTCAAGGTTGTTATGTTTGTCCTTTGAGTTGTCAGCACCCTTCAAAACGCTCTCTGTAATTTTAGAACCTTTAATATGGTGAACATCAAGCATCTCATCATGCCAAATGTAATTTTCCACACCCCCAGCATTTAATGTGTTCACAGGAAATGAAAAAAGAATCACACTTCCTCTCTTTGCTTGTTCCTTATGCTTTATCGAACACCATTTTAATGCCAGGCACAGAGTGAGAGACCAGAGATTAAAAAATAAAAGATGAACAGGGCTTATCACTGCCCACAACAAACTCATGATCTAGGCAACACATTATTTTGTGTACTGGGGAAAGGATGGCTCCAAAGCCTGTTTTCTTTAACAGAAGAAAAGGACACAGTTGTCTCCAGACTGGTCCACATGTTTAACTTTCACATCGTTCCTGACTCAAGCAAGTTGACTAATTGCTTACACTATACATCCCAAAATTGAAAGTCTTTAAATTTGGAAGTGCATTATGCCTGCCTTTAGATGGACATGGCTTATGGATTCACTTATGTCATACAATTTTCTTGCAAACTACTATGCTGTTTCAGGCCGGTGAGGTGGCTCATGCCTGTAATCCCAACACTTTGGGAGGCCGAGGAGGGCAGACCACTTGAAGTCAGGAGTTCAAGACCAGCCTGGCCAACATGGTGAAACCCTGCTAATGAAAACACAAAAATTAGCTCTGCATGGTGGTGGGTGCCTGTAATCCCAGCTACTAGGGAGAATCGCTTGAACACGGAAGGCGGAGGTTGCACTGAGCCAAGATCACGCCACTGTACTCCAGCCTGGGTGACAGAGCAAGACCCTGTCTCAAAAAAATAAAAATAAATTAATATGCTGTTTCATAGGTTGAATCTGCTTGGACGCTGGTATGCAAACGGGAGGGGGCAAGGGGAGAGGAATAGGAGATGACATGGGAAGATGAGACTGGGAGACGGTAAAGTGTCCCCACTTCCTTAGGGTGAGCTCCACAACTGTCTAGCAATTCTCTAGCAATAAAATGGCTGTCCTAAGATTGATAAGCCTTTAGCGTGGCAGAGTGATGACTCTAGACTCTCGGATTTAAAGATCTCTTTACTTCACACAAGGTCTCTTTTTCTCCTCTCTTTCCTCTACATAAACTTTCTTCTCTGTCAGCATTACTGCTGCCTATTGCATCCAGTTTACTATAATGCATAATTACCATGCCATCATTGCTGCTGCAAATGCCTTTTTCTCTGTTCTTTCTGCACATCCTTTTCCATTTATCTTATATTTCCTGTTTTGGAAATGTAAGATACATCTATATACATCATGGTGCCTTTGTAATGTTAAATGTATTTTTTTCTAAAGAAGGTCCCCTAAATTGCAAAAGCTCAGGCTCCACAGAGACTTAGATCAGTCTCTCCCCATGGGTTTTAATATTCAAATCTTTGGCTCACCTTCCAGTTGCCTTGTTGTTTTTGTTGCTGCTGCTGCTTTTGTGTTATGATTCTGTAGGTAAATTGTTTGTAGGGCTTGTTCTTTTCTTAATGAATATTTTTAATATCTTTTTTTCTCCCAGGCAGTTTCTTAGTCCAGAGTTGTGCCAGAAGCCAAATTTTCTAATAGAGCTTAATGGATTCTTCGACAATTCTTGTAAAATATGGTATCTTAAACATCTATCACTAAAGTGGATATTACAGTACAGATATTGCAAAAATGTGTTTAACAGGGTACATAGAATTTCTGCCAAACCAAATGTTGATACACAGTATTAATAGGACTCACCCAGCAACTTATATTTCAGCCTTCACATTGACTTTGATACCAAATTCTTTTTGAAATCTATTGAGTACTCTCTCAATTTCACCCAACTTGGCCTCCCCTCCCCAAACACACATATTTGCTCCACCTAAGAGGCCTAAGTCTCTCAAAATTTTAGAAGGCAGTCAAACAAGATGCCCTTTTTCCAGGCAGTAATATCACAATAGAAAACATCTTCTGAATACTAAACCTCTGGCAGCAATAGAGTCTATTCATTTCGTTGCCAAAGGAAATGGTAACCCAGTAATTATCACTGGCCCTATTACTTCTTCTCATTAGCCCTTGTCTCACACAAAGCAGAAGTTCAAGTTCTTGGTTCAGACTTTGAGATTTCCAAAGAACTGGTTTGGCAAATGACTTTTATTTCTTGATCAACATTTTGTGTATCAGGCCCCTATTCAGGTTCTGCAACTAGAGAAGTGAACAGACAATATTTGTGCTAGCATGGCAATAAGTTTTGCTGAAGCAGGGCAATGAGGTGGGAAATATTAAGGGATGGAAGAAGACTGTTTAATTATCTAGAACACTTCCTTGAAATAGATTAACAAGCTTTCAATACCAAGCAGTTAGGGTAAGCCATTGCTCAAAGGGACTACTATGACAGTTTTTTGTATTACCAAATTTTATTAGATGTTAAGTCCATACAGAGGTTGAACTATATACAATGGCAGTAAACTGAATATGAAGTCATTAAAAATTAAGTTTCATGCTATTCTTTTGGGTGTCATGACAGTAGCAAAACTAGCGCATTCAGTTCCCAGAATCACAGCTTCATCATAAAGATGAGTCATGTTGAACTAAAGGGACTATATTTTAATGAGCCAATCTGGTTACTGTAGCTCATCTATGCTCAGCAGCAGACTGCCTGGGGAACAGGAGACAATCTATTTGTCAAATGAAGAATTAGTCCCTGATGCTATCCTTCGGCCTTGATCCCCCCCTCAACACTCTCCTCTCTGTTCCTTCTTGTATAAAGTCTTGCCTTGGGGGTTTCCCTTAACTACAAATAACGGTAGCATAAAACAATCTGCATTGTGCCTGCGATTCCCCATTTAGCATTTGTTGACAAATAAGAGTCATCAAATATTTATTATTTATCTACAATGCTTTTAGCACTGTGGGGTTACAAAATAATCTTTATAGAATAATCTCTTGGCCTTGAGGAGGAGTTTCTAGTCCTTTGAGAGAGTGAAAACCTCCATACATGGAACTTCAGATCAGAAGGTATGGTCTGTAGTCATTCAGAAAAAAATGATCGCTCGACCCTATGTTAGGTAGTCAATAGGGAGAACCTTAGAAAGGAGTTGGGACATGAGTTAAACATTAAAGAATAGTTTAGGTGTTGAATAATTTGGCATTTTTATCATTTTCCGATTTGCTCTCTTTTTAAATTCATGTACTAAAGATTTCCTATTGACAAGCATACGATGCACAATTATTTTTATTCCTGATTTCAGTGGATCATTCTGTGAGTTGCTGTGGTTGTTTTTCTAGCTTTAGGAGAGGATTAATACCTTGAATCCTTACTTGTAAGTCTCACCAGCACTAGAGGTTTTAAAGTGTGGAGTAATAACATCTAATGTAAGGGAACTAGAGTGGAGACAAAAACATAGGGGAAATGCTAATTTTCAGTAGTCAGTGTAACCATGGGTAATTTTTACATGGGTTTGTGATATTCTGATGTAAATGCTTTAAAGTAGATTTTGAATATATTATTTTCTACTGAATATCGCATAGTGTTATTTTAAAATTTATTAGGAAATACCAACTCTGTGCCAAGTAATGAACATTACTGATGGCTAAAATGCTTGGCTAGCATCAGATCTGTCTAGCTTTATTAAAAATAATAAATCTAGATTTACAAAGTTCTTGACACACAATATATCAGAGATATAATCTCAAAAATGTATATCCAAATAAGTTCTGTCCTTTAAATTTGGTCCTCTATGAAATGATAATCATATCTGAACAGTAATACCATCATTCCATAGATTTTTTAAGTCTGTGTTTCAGTCTTTCTTAAAGTGCCAGTAGACGGCTGTACAGATAAATTTCTTACATTATTGTGAAATTCACATTTTTATGAAGATGGTATTGCCCCTGCTTGATCATCTGCTTCATAAATTCACATAACAAACATTTTGCATGGTACTCATACTGTGCCAGGGAGGCAAAAATAAATTTGGCGTGGATCCTGCCTCTAAGGATTGTACCACTGGTAGACTAAAACAGGTAAGAACTTGGCAAACGAACAAGGAAAAGGCCATTTGAGATAAAGGAAACGCACATGAAGACATGGAAGTGCGGAACAGCATGGCATTTTCAGGGAACAACAGATGGTTTGGCATGACTAGAATATGAAATGCAAGGAGAGAAAGGGTGCAGGTGATGCTTTAAAAAGTCATTTTAAGCTAGACAATGAAGATTTTTTAACACTTAAAATAATTTCCTATTATCAAAGATTTTATCTTTTTTACCATAGCCTGGAATAAAGTTATAGTGGGCTTTTCAGGTATACTTTTATTAAAATTTGAGGGAATAGGGACGGTAGAAACAAATAAATAAGCTTAGAAGTGCCATACGTGGTGTCAAAGTGATGTCTTGCTTTCACATTAAAAATAAATATATATTTACAAACTTCTTGACATATGATATATTGGAGACATCATTTCAGAAACGTATATCCAAATAAGTGTTACACTTCTTGTGAGCTATTTTGTTTTTTAGTCACAATAATTAAGAAAACCACAGAGTACAGAAACTAACTTTTATGTGTTTTTATTAAGCTTTAATACTTATATACATTAACTTATTTAAGATATATATAACAATCTAAGTAATACGCATTTCTCTTCCTATTTTACAGATGAGAAAACTAAGATTCAGAGTAAAAAAAGTGGCCTAAGATGTCCAGGTTACTAAGAGACAAAATCAATATTCAAACAGATATGTTTGGCAACAAAGTTAATAGTTTATACTGTGTTGCCACTTTACCTCAGTCAGACTTTATCTATACCATATTTGGGTTTGAACACCTTCTGTTCTAAAGAAATTTTAAAGTTTTCGTTAAACTGTCCCAAATGTCAGGTAGGAAAAGTTGACACTGATTTCCCTAAATCACAATATTCATATTAAATATTCTGGAGGTTGCCAGGGAAGAATTTCATAGCTATCTTATCTACACCATCCTATACAAACTGCATCTTGGTCCATTAATCCTCAAATTATGTTAAAGAAAAATTGGGACTATTATACAATCTCTAAGTGATAGTAGGCTCTCAAATGTGACTTTAAGAACATATGTTAACCTCTCTCGACCTTAATTCTTCATCTCTAAAAGGAACAGTTTAGACTAATAATCCCAGTGATCCTTCTGCGTGGTCTCAGGATTCTGTGCTCACTGCAAAATAAATAGCATTTCAGTCTGTAGATACGGTATATGCTGGCTTACAGGTGAGAGAGACACTTTAAGTGTGATTATTTTATAACCGCCAAATTCGGAATCGGATTTGAGAGCTGGGATTTTTGTGTTTATTTTTAAGAACTCTCATGGCCTACATATTTCTGGCATATGTAAAATTTGTTACTGGTGATATACCCTGTTTATAAACAGAAACTTGTTCTTTAAAGACAAGGTACCAATGTGCTTAATTTTTAAATCAATAGAAATAAACTAATCAAGAATACCCATCAACTGCATTGTGGAGTGGTTGTTGTATGAGGAGGCAGTAGGGTATAAGGATTAAGGACCCAGACTCTGGGTTTGAATACTGGAAATGCCACTTCTTCCTAACTGTGGAACTTTAGGCACATTAATGCTGTTCTCTGTGGCTTAGTTTTCTCATCTGTAAAAACAATTTCTGCCTCATAGAGTTGTTTTGAGGATTAAATGTATTCATGTATGTGTAGTACCTAGAACAGTATCCGGTACATATAAACATTCATGAAATGTTACCTGTTGTTAGCATTATGGATAAGAGATCACTTATTTGAATTAAAGAAGCTACAGAATTAATGGATAAAATAAAAATATTGAAGGTAAGCTGCAAGAGGGCAGAGGTTTTTGTCTGTTTTCCATATCTGTTTCCTGGGCACCAGCCTAAGTATCTGGCTTAGATTAAGTGCCCAACATATATTTGTTGAGTGAATAGTTCAAGATTCAATGACGTTGAAACCTCTATTATCTTGTTTTTTTTTTTCAAATGTTCCTCTGTATTTTAATGTTTCTTGTATTCAAGAGCATTAAGCCATATGCTATAAATTCTATAACATAATGAGTAGTAAGTAACAGCTTTGGTCTCTAGATTCCTGTTTCAGTTCCTCTGTGCTATTTTAAGCAGAAATACCATAAAATCTTAGATAATTTCTTATAAAAACAAGTGTTAGGCCTCATCTTTTTTCTTCTTTTTTTGACAAGTAAATAAAACCAGGCCTCTGCTTATTTAGACATTTCATGGGTCTTGGCAGTTCTCTTTGTTGTAGCAGTAGCTGTATTGATCCAGCTGTTGCAGTTGCTACTTGGGCAGCTGCTGGGCAGCATTGCCAACTGCCTCAGATGGTTTTTAAACTGATTTTAGAGAGAAAAACAATCCAGGAATTCCAGAAATACAGCTAAGCCTCCCCTCTCTCTTGTCCAATTAGCAGCTATGGCTTAGAACCATGGATTCCAAATACAGCAATCCTACTCTTTTGGATACAAACTAATGCCTATCTTGAAGAGTCTAAGTTGGATAAAAATCTCACCCTCAGTCTCAGTTTTAGTAATAATACTTTAGAATTACAGTTACTGTAAGCCAAGTGTTTATAAGGATTTTCATAATCTGTATCTTATTTTACTTAAAAACCCACGCTTTCTTCTCTTTACTCTTTCCCAGATAGACATAGTTCCTGAGTCACTGTTGATTAGCCAAAGTGACAAGGATAGCCACTTTAGTTAATGAAACTAAATTATTTCTCCCAAAACTAAATTATTTCTCCCAATAGGCTCTCGGTCAAAATCATGCTGATATATAAGGTGCTTTCCAGCTTTGTACTATCTTAAATATTTTATTGTTGTCTAAATGATTTTGTTCCAACCATAAGCTTGGAAAACAAGAAAATTGTATAGTACAACACCAAAACCTAATAATTGTCACCACAGGGTGCATTGGCCAATGGGAGGAAACTTTGCCTTTTTTATTTTTTTTAACAGAAAGAAATATCGATATCCAACTTAAAGTTCCCAGGAAGGGTATGAAAATTTCGCATAAAGATCTTATAAGTTTTATAGAAGGAGAGAAGCTGAAAACCCATTTAGACCTATTCTGCCCAAAATGCAGTGGTACAGAAACCTGTCAAAGTGGGGGAATGTACTTTCCAAAGACCAGGGATGAGAAGCAGGCAAGAAGCCCTCAAAAATCAGCTGCATGAAGATGGTGGTTGCAATATCACCAGCCTCATAAGAATATGTATATGTTTCAATTCCATTGTGGAGGTGGAATCTAAGCACAAACAGTCCCTTGGCGATCACCTGAACAGTCTCCAGAGAAAAGAGAGAAAAGAACGTACCTGCTATAAGCATTATGGAAGCTTTTATAATTTAGAAGGATTATTAAAAAGAGATGCTACTTTATGTGTTATCCCAAAATAAATGAAATAAGTGATAAAATTCATTAAGGTTGATACAAAGTTCTGTCTGTGGTCCTTATTGGAGACACAAGCACCAAAGTAGTTTCTAAATAGAAGCTCTCCACTGTTTTTGATTTGTGGAATTTGAGGAGTGAATGCCAGTCATGGCTAAGTCAGAAATTTAACTTAGCATGCTTACTGTACCAATGTAGAAAGTATACATGTTATCATTATGTCCATGCTTACTCAAACCACATCCTCAATCAGAGCGTCCTCTCTCTTATACAAAGCTCTATCACACACCAACCCTGAACTATTCACTAGAGAGAGTTGTACCCAGTGTTACATATTATTTAGTGTCTCTCCTCCCCACAAACATACACCACTTCTGGATGAGGAAGGTCATAAGTCCTGGTTCTAAATACTGAAGTGTAACATTGCCAAGTGTAACATTTCCCCTATAGTCTTGGACTCCTCTAATCATAGGAACCCAAGGGAACCACTGGAAGCACAAAGATAATCCTTCCCCATTTTCAAAAGCAGCCATGTCACTAATCAGAAACTGGTTAATGGAATTAGCATTGCATTTAACTTCCTCTGCCTTCAAATTTAATATACAAGCACTGTTTTGTATTCACCCTTCCCCCAACCATGTAAGAATTTAAGCTAGTTTTGATAGAATTTTCTCTCAAAATGAAAAAGCGATTTTATGTTTATTTAATGATTGAACCTGTGCCAGCCATTCTGGTGCGTTCCCAAGTAGGCATCAGCCATCTCATCCCTATTTGAGTAGCATCAGCACTTTCATCCCTATTCGAGTATAGAGTATTTTGAGCATTACAATGTACGTCAGCATCTGTGACAGATCAGCATCTTTCAAAACAGAAAACAATGTAGACAGCCTGTAATATGCTTTTCATACCACAGGTGTTGATTTCTGCCCCAGGAAATATAAGAATGGCACATCAACAGATATTACCCATCATGAGTTGTGTCTGAGTGTTGATTTTAAATAGTCTAATTAAAATGTCCCATGGTTGGCAAAATATTTGATGATCAGCTTGCACAATAGTTGTTGCTCTATCACAAACAGGGTAAAGTTGACCCTGGTACCTGATCATTGGCTGCCATCAGTGAATCTGCACAAAATGGAGATGCATCTACAAGTAAGAATTGGGGAATTGGCTACTCATCAATAAATTGGTAGGTATGAAATGGGTATATATGCTAGGAAAGAAGCACAGTGGGAAGTTAGATGCAAAGTCATCTGTGGAAATAATTATAAATCCATAATTTTTAAAAAAATACCAGTATTCAGGTATATCATGCTGTATAAAATGCAGTGAGATTATTTATAAGGGCTAATATTAAAAAGTATAGAAAAATATAATTTGGTTTAGATTCTTAATATCTATAACCTACTTCTTTTAAAAGGTCTAGTATATATTTTAAGCAAATAAACTAACTCTTAGATTTATTAAAAAGAGTAATAATTCTTAATTTAATAGTAAATATTAAATATTTAAAATATTTAAATATAGGCTCTGTACTGACCATTGAAGAATTTTCTTAAATTTAACATTTCCAATCAGTTTAAATTATACACCAAATTAACTAATATCTTCATGCATAAAAGTCTCAGTTTTAAGGTTGTAATGGAACCTGACTTGACCAGTTCATCCTTATGGTACATGCTGATAAATCCACTAAAGTAGGGTTTTGATTAAATATATTCTGAGAATGGTTGTCTTTGGTTATTATAATAGTTAGAAAACAGTTCTCAGCCTTCATCAACCTGTTAAAATTAGTGGCCTGTAGGTTATTCCAACATAGTTCTTTTGTATGTACTAGACAAATACAGTTGTTAGTTGAAATAATGCCAATATTATAAATGGATCAAATGACTCTGGGTTGATTAAATAATTGTCTTTTTTCTAATCTATAATCTGTGCTCACTTTTATTAAAATAGATTCATAGCAACTATCTGCTGTGTGCGGGTACCATACTAGCTACCTTCATAGACGTTATGTTTTACAGTCTTTAAAACGTGAATAAGAAGTTTTGCATCTGATAAATGTGACTGTGCCCCCTTGGGGCCACTCATTACTTTTACTGCAGCATCAAATCCTTTTTTTTCATGACCCTATTATATCATATAATGTCCTGGTCTCTTTCTTGCTTAACTACCTTCCATGAGGTCAGAAATGATTACAACAGCAATCATATTAGGTAATTTTAGTGCCTATGAAACAAGCTAAAGAGAAATCTCTGATTTGGTGAATTGAAAACCATATAGATATGGGGATGAAGAGTTCCTATGACTGATTTTCCTATCTGGATTCAAACCTTGCATTTAGTATAATATTTACAATACAAAAGACAAGCCTTCACTGTCACCCACAGTCACACCAGTGTTGTTCTCAGCTGGACAGTATGGATTACTTGAGTTATGCATGAGATAAAAATTGGCAGCCATCCTTGTGCTCTCAGCTCTTGGTTATGCATGAATGCATTATTCTTTTGTGGGTAACACATTCATCTCCGGATTACCACCTCATAATTGCTGTTATGGGACCTCAAGCCCTCTTCCTCCCTGAATACTTCCCCAACCACTCTAGAAGCCACTAAGGACATGACTCACAAGGTTCCTGAACAATTACCCTTAGCCAACATGGAACATCTGCCATTTTCCTCCCCTGCAGCCCAACTCTCTTTTGTCATATTGCTTAGTTAGCCAGGTGCATGCCCACTAGTAATGCAATCACAACCCACTTATGTTGCCACCTGTAGGCTCTCCCAAGATGAGACTATTTAAACATCTCATCACTAAAACTCCTCTGCAAAAATGTTGAGAATGTCTTCTTCCCATCATGTTAGACTCTCTCATGATAGTCCTTGCAGGGTGGGCCTTCTGAGTGTCAGAGAAAAGTTTGAGAACAATTTACTTCTCTGGTTCCTGTTTACACTTCTAGTCTGGGGGACTAAACTTGGAAATTTACCTCAAAATTCTAACCATCACGCTCTTGATAGTCACTGGTTAAAAAAACAAACAAATAAACAAACAAAAGCAAACTCGTCTTTCCCAATTTTCCCTTAGAGTTTCTTAATCAACATAGTTGCTCTTAGATTCAGGTTCAGACATCTCCAAATGAACATGTGAAAATGCAACTCTTGATTTTTCTAAACAGTTATACATACTACAGCCATGGTGATCATCTTAAAACAGTAGCAGACCAATGGTTCTCAAAAGTTACTAGATATTAGAATTATGTGGAGAGTTTTTAAAAAGTAACTGATGCCCATATTCTTAACCAAGTGTATTAGTTTGTTTTCACACTGCTATAAAGACATACTTGAGACAGGGTAATTTATAAATAAAAGAGGTTTAATTAACTCACAGTTCCTCATGGCTGGGGAGGCCTCAGGAAACTTACAATCATGGTGGAAGGGGAAGAGGCATGTCTTACATGGTAGCAGATGAGAGAGAGTGAGCAAGATTGAGGAAAACTGCCTTATAAAACCATCAGATCTTATGAGAACTCACTCACTATTTTGAGAACAGCATGGGGGAAAATGCCCCCATGATCCAATCACCTCCCATATGGTACCTCCCTCGACACATGGGGATTATAGGGATTACAATTCGAGATGAGATTTGAGTGGGGACACAGAACCAAACCATATCACCAAAGTAATGAATCCTTTCTAAGGGAGAAAAACTCATATGAAATGTGTGACCCACCTCATCTCCAACCACAGAGAATGAAAATGTAAACTTGACATGCTAAACTCAAACTTTTCAAAGACAAAGAAGAGGCTGGGAGGAGAAATGTACTAGGGTGGAAATTCTGGCTCCCATCCTCCATTTGTTCCCTGAGAAGTTAGAACTGAATGTAAAAAAAAAAAAAAACATGAAGTGTCCTCTGCTTGGACCTAGGAGTATGTGCTTTGGAAGCACTCTTGATGCCTCAAGTATGAGACACTTTAGGAAAAGTAACCCAAACCAGAAGAGAACTGATAGTGGAATAAAGAACATAGGATGTAGTGCAGGGCCTGGATGCACCTGTTCTATGCATTACTGCAGAGTTGTGCACTAAAGCATCCACCAAAAACATCCCTGATTTTAGTTTCTGTTCCTTAGGTTTGTTTCTTAACATTGTAAAAAGCATTCAACTGGACAGTGTTGGGCTGAGCGGTGAATGTTTCTCCAAGATTGTAGATCAAGGCTTGATACAAGTGAATTGTGAAACACCCCACACTGGCCCATATTGTTAGGGGCATGGCTGACATCTGGCTACTAACAGTTTCCTTCTGTTCTTTTGTCAACGTCAGCCTGATTATTTTAATAACAATTCTTGTGTGTCACTATCCTTGTTTGTATATTTTTTTAGAGGAATATGGTAACTAAGTTTCCGTTGAGGAAAAATACAAATTTAAAAAATCTAAAACATCTTGTGTGTTTTATTTGTTCACTTGTTAGTTATATTTTAATTAATTTTAAAATGATGTATATAAATGAACAAGATATGTCTCAAAAATCACAAGTGGAACTTATTAATATCAGTTCTAAATAGTGCCTGGCAACAAAACATTGGTTTCCAGAGCCTTACAAAGAATTGCTGTATAATGGGCCTTCTAAACTAATGTTAGATAGAAGTTGCACTTAATAAAGTTACTGAGATATTAAATTATTATAGTTGAAAGTTAGCCAGGAAGTTATATAATATTTTGCCTTCATGGAATTGTGTGTTTAACAATAAACAAGTCAATCCCTTCATCAAGAAATTGTATGAAAATATGTAATGGTACGTGTAAGATAGACTTCTTATTACACTCTTCTGTCTTTAGAATGTGTGACTCCAACATATTTCATCACAGGTTATTTACTGTTCTTAAGGCAGACAGTAGTATAACCATTACTATCATTACCATAAGCTTTAATTTAGAGCTCATGTGCATAGTGTAAGTGTGAAAAAATTCACAAACTAAGTTTATACTCTGAACTTCATATTTAAGGCAGCTTTTCTATTAAATGTACATCTAATATTCCCTTTCCATGTTCTGAGTTCAAAGCTCCATTGCTTCAAATATTAAAAATCCCCCAGAAGTCTTTAATCAGCACAGCTCTCCTATAGAAGAGATCCAAATGAAATTTGAAGAATAGAAAAAGCATAATTGGAGCTATTTTTTCAATTCCTTCTTCCTCCCCCCTCACTATGCTTGTCTCTCTCATTCTTGTATACACACCCACTCGTACATATTTTTGGAGGCAGAAGAGCACTGCTTGCTTTTTGTGCAAATGAAATAGCAAAAGAAAACATGTTGCTGTGAAGCTGAAATACACTCATCAGACTACCAAGTGCTTCTAGAGAAAGCTTTCACTGAACGTCATTCTGAGGGACGCAGCTCCCTTCCTCTTGAGGCCCTAGGCATGAACCATCCGACTTCCCAATCCAACAAAACCTATCAGACAATGAACAGCAGTTGAATGCAAAATTAAAGGCCTGAATATTGTAGTCACTAAGTGATTGGTAGCTTGTGACTGAGGGAAATGGGGAAAAAATAAGCCATTCTCTTGTTTCTTCTCGCCTCTCTTTGTGGTTTTCTTGTCATTCTAAAAATGCTGAAAATGCTGTGGGACTTAGGGACCTCCTGGACACAGAAGATAGTCTAAAAATACATTTGTTTAAAAATTTAAAAAAAATTCCACTTTAGAATTTGTCTTCTTTTGAGGTAATCTGTTACACAAGGCTGCTATAATTTGGCTTTCAGCAGTAACAACTAGTTATGCCAAAAATGAATCGTAAATAAAGTCTAGACAAATGCAGTGTTTTTATTCCAGAGGCAGCCAGCAGATGCTTTGTGTAACCTGCACTCTCCTGCTGGCCAGATTAATTTTGCACTATGCTTTTACTGTGTAATGCCTTGGAACAAAACAAATTTAAAATGTGTCCTTTGGCCACTTGGACTTCCTCAGATCACTCACTGTAGCATTCTTCAATATTAACGAAGAGTAAACAGTTTAAGGGCCTTCTGATAGTCAATGACATATCACACAGCCCTACTTAGGCCAAGGAGTTCACAAGCAAAGTAATAAGTACTCCAGAGATGTTCTTCAGTTGTCAAAATTCTGTAGCATGTCAAGTGTGGAAAGAAGGACAAGGAAGAGGAATGCAAACCTAGGGGAACAGAAATCTCAACTTTCTCCATGGACTGTCGATCAAGTATATCATTATAATATCTGAAAACCTTGCCTTTCCCTTCTGTGATAGTCATATTATTGTGGAAAATATGAAACCTTTCAGATCCAACACTTTCTCTTCAAAATGCATGTTATATTTGAACAAACAACACTGCTGCTTTTCTAAATGGATTAGTAACAGGATCTTAAAAACCAGGCTTTTTCTTTTTGAGTGAACCAGTGTATCACTGCTGAGGAAAAGAGCAGAAAGGTTAGTGGAGCTTGTCCTTGAAATATAGCCCAAATTGATACTCTGTGCAACCTAAATGTAAGCATTAGCTGCAGTGATTGTGGGACACATGATTGAGCTTTCCACTCATTACAAGCAATTCTCCTAAGCTCAATAGACAGACTTTCCTTAATTGAGGAACAGGCATTACCAATGAATTTTTATGAGTTTATTCATTCTAGAATTGTTCATCATAATGCAGTCAGTTTATTATATTAAAAATATATATCACAACTGAAGCAGTTTTGTAAAACAGATGTTAATACACTACTGTATCTATTTATTTGTACCTTGGGGATATAAGGGGGAAAAAAAGCAAACTGCATGCTGCATGAAAAATCATAGCCATCCAATAGCTAATGGCTATCATGTTGAAAGTCAAGTAAATGCTTCCACTGAGCCCCAGTCAAATGTTTGGGGTTGATTATAGTAAGATGAAAGGGTTAGTTGAAATTGCAAGTAGATGTAGCACAATTGGGTATTAATTTTTTTTAACGTTTGTTGAAAATGGAAACCATCATTCTCAGCAAACTGTCACAAGGACAAAAAACCAAACACTGCATGTTCTCACTCATAGGTGGGAATTGAACAATGAGAACACTTGGACACAGTAAGGGGAACATCACACACCGGGGCCTGTTGTGGGGTGGGGGGAGTGGGGAGGGATAGCATTAGGAGATATACCTAACGTAAATGACGAGTTAATGGGTGCAGCACACCAACATGGCACATGTATACATATGTAACAAACCTGCACATTATGCACATGTACCCTAAAACTTAAAGTATAATAAAAAAAAGAGAAAATAAAACATAAAGGAAGATAACTGAAGTGTATTGTTTATCATTATAAGTGGACTACTGTCTGCTACTTCTAGCTCACTGTGTCTATCTGAATTTATATATACCCACTGTGATTTAATCTTCAGTTTAACTAGTAGATGCCAGTCCATATTTTCACTATATCTACAAGAGTTCCTGTTTCTTCTTATGACTACTCATATCAATAATTCTGGAAAGGGGAGTCTTAAAAGCCACTTAAAAAGAAGAGTGACCCAAGAAAGCAGAAGGCTAAAGTAAAGTGCAGTTGTCATCTATTTATAGACTGAGTATTTTAATTATGCCTTTTAATGTATTACTATGGTTAAAAATAAAAGCTGTGTATGAAGTCTTGAAAACTAAAACTGAAATGTTTATGTTTTATTATAGTTACAATTTTTCCTTTGAACTTTCCAAATAAAAAATTCCCCTGCAGACTCATAGACAACCAGTATTGCTTAGCTTACGCTGTAAGCCTGTAAATGGGGAAAATTGTTCAAGAGTGTAATCACTAAGCCATGAATATGGCTCTGGGTGCTCTTATGCAAGTTTCTCTGGCCAGTATTTTTATGTATGGTTTGTTGGAATATATTTTTTCTTTTCTTAGATTTAAAAGAGTTGTTAGAAAATGTGCAATTGGAGAATAACTTACACACACACACATACACACACACTATAGGCTGTTTCTATGGGCCTCTATAAAGCTTACAAATTCAGAAAATAGGATATTCACATTCTCTCAATGAATCAGAAATGTAGCAGTTCACATGACTAAGCTGATGACTAAGCAGACACTTGGGGAGAAGAGCTTGCAAATTGGGCTTTAGGGAAAATGCTGTCATTAGACTCTAAAAATCTAAAATAATTATCACTTAAAGCCAATGTGAAAAATTAATTACAATATTTTTAGGTCATTAATTTTTCTAGTCTCAGATCTCTTCCTCCCCTCCACACCCATTTCCTGGCATATTTTAATCTAGCCCAATATTTAAAATAAATCAAATGTCAGAGGAACTCTTTAAAAATCAAACCTGGAGTTTCTGTCAGTTCTTTTTCCACAATGTTTTTATTGGCCAGTAGCCTATGTTCTGAGAATAATCCATTTTCTCCTAACTAGAAAGACTTTTAAAAAATTTTTTGCAGTTGTCATAGAGATGGAACCTAGCATGGTGGCAGGATGTCAGTTATTTTGTCTTTTGTGATATTTATATTTTTGTGAATATTTTTATGGTGTTTTTTTTCCTGCCTGCATGAGGTGATTCTCCTGCCTGTCTTGTGATAGTAAACACAGGAGTAAACGTGCTCTATTTCCTCACCTGCTAACATTTGAGTGTGATATGCTTAGTTAATCAGTTCACTGAAGCAATTAAGTTGCTTTTCAGTTTTTTTTCTTTTTGTGTCTTCAAAAGGGCTTCATCTTCTGGAAGTGCCACATTGACATGGTAAGAACAAGTTTATATGGTGCTTGCAAGATGTTGCTCACTATTCTAAGTTCTATAAGTAGAATAAAACATTGAATCATTGTGGCAACCCTAAAATATACCGATGAAAACTGAGGCACAGAGAAGTTAAATAACTTTCCCAAGACTGCGTGCCTAGTAAGTTGACAGTACAGTATTTAAAGTGAGTAATCTGTGCCTAGAATCTGTGACCTTAGCCATGACTCTGTTCTTCTCACACAGAAATTTACTCATGTTTTTTCAATTATGCAGAAGAGCCATCCCCAAAAGATTATTTAAGATGAATGCTTTGTCATTTTTTTTATCATGTAGTGGACATACTTTCAAAACGTTACATTGTATTAATTAAAATCTCTGATTCCTAGTATAATATAGACTTTTAATTCCTTGCTACTGCCAAGGAATTGCTTACTTGAAATAAAATTTTACTTAAAAATGGGTACTCTGTGTTACCATATACTTCTATATTGCTGTCTCTTTTCAGCTCAGCATTTTACTGTAAAAAGAAATGCACACATATTTAAAAGTTCTTATATACAATGAAGATTCGTGACATTCGTTACTGAATTTATAGAATACATAATCAGAATTTTATAAACACAAGTATGTATTTTCTAATGATAATGTTGCAAAATTAGTTACTTTTCAAAGGAATCAAGATCAAATTTCTTGTACTTAATAAAGTTAATAAGTAATTAATAATGTAAGATATTGTTATATAATTTAGTGTTCCTTGTGTACTAGGACTAGCACTATATAATATGCATATTTACATCCTTAGAAAATTTTGTTTTTCTGTTAAAAATGTATGTTCAGTTTTCCCCAAAATGGGAAAATATCTCAGAATAAAATACCTATTTGTTTCAAGTATATCAACAAATAATGTTTACTCAAAAATCTCCCAGATTTGTATTTTTTTGAAAATGTTAGAAAACTCCCAAATCTTACATTAAATTAGTTATGATTTGGCCTTTAATCACTTTAATCATTTTATCAGAAGAGTTGAAGTCTACTAAGTCAAGTTAGATATGATCCCACTAGTGACTGTAACTTTGTATGTTAAACCACCTGTTCTCAGCATGTACAGGAACATTATCTTCTGTTTGAAAAAGGTAACATAAAAAACTTAATAAAAGCCAAACAACCCTGCACTTGTTGTTATTACATTTAAATAAGTTATTTAACCTTTTGTCATTTGCTTTTGCTCATTCAGGAACAAGATTTAAAGTACTATCAGATGAATGTTAAAACGTACTTGCACACACATTAATTTAGCCAATTCTATGGTTGTCTACAAAATAAAGGACAGAATAAAGCTAGACAATTCAGTAAAAATATTGCTGGATAAGGGCTAGGTAAGCTAAAATTGCTAAAGATGGCTCCTATCTCTGCTCTAACATTATTGGACAAATAGAGCGTGATACTTAGAGATGGGTATGGGATGAGTATGAGTCTGGATGAGACTAGAAGATGAAAAGCAGTAGAATCAAAATTTTTAAAGCATCAGATAAATCTATTTACCTGTTCTCCAATATCATGCCCTTGGCAATGAGGAAAAATTAATCTTTCATACTAATCATTAAAATAAAGAAAAAGGAGGTAAAAACTTCCCAGGTGATATTTGAGAAATGAAATCAGAAAATGGGGAGAGTGATGGTGATGGCGACGATGTGGGAAGGACTGTGGGCTCTTAGGAATAAGTTATCCTTGTTGTCTTTCAAGTACTTGAACGCAGATTTCAAAAAATAGAAATTATGTTTTTCTTACCACATAAATGAAGACTTATGATTTTGTAAGTGTTTTGATATCCACCACAGTTTTAAAATAACCCAGTAATACTTGCAGTGTTATTTTTGTAGTGTAACCACTTGTGTGAATGAACACATAGCTAATAAATGGTTAAATGGAATAAAGACTGGCCTAAGAGCATGACATTATGAAGTAAAAAGTCAGGCAAAAATAAACCGCTGTATGTGCAAAAGATTTTACATTCTAAATTAAAAGTAACTATTAAAAATATCACTGAGAAGAGAGTATAGGTCTTATATCCTTCAAATAAACCACTTGGTAAATGCAGGGAATGCTACAGGAAGGTGCCTCTGCTACTCAGAAGTTAACGAAAATGTGTGGTTGTCATGGGGATACTCAAATTACAGAAAGAAAGAAATCAGGAAATGATGAATGTAATTAATTTTTCTTGAAGTTCAACTGATGCAAGGTAAAAGCATATTTATTATGTGACTGTCTAGCCATCCATGATATTAAAAAAATGAATAAATACCAAATTTGCAATATATGTAAATTAGGCAAATTTTGTCATGGAAGTTCACAACAAATACAATTATAGTTACTCACTGAGGAATTTAATTTTTTCATATGGGTTTGCATAAATAAATAAATAATTTATAAATATAGAAGGCTGACTTTTGTTAGTTTTTGCACTTTTTATTAGGAGAAAAATTAATCAAAGAGGATGCAATAGCCCGCATACACCAGAAGCAATTGGTGTGTCAAATTTGCTGTAGTGCTGAGCAGTAGACCACTCTTTCAGGGTAGAATTTGAGCAGCTTTCAAATGCCCAGTTCTGCTGCTAACATTAAATTAGATAAACAGATCAAGATTAGATTAGATAAATAGATCAGGCAAATAAGTGAACAATATAGTTGTTAAAAAAAAATTCAGGAGTAGTAGGGGCTGGTGAGTTTTACGTAGACTAAAGAGCTCATGCTTTGTCTAAATGAGCAGCAGCAAGTTAATTTCTCTAATAGTTGTCCTGCATGAATTTGAATCCATACATGCTAGATCTGATTTTTCATGGGAAGCTGAACATGTTTCCATGAAATATTTTTCTGCAAAACCTCCTAATTTTTAAATGTGGGCAAGTAATATGTTTAATCAGCTAGTGGAACACAAAAGAACTACTGTCAGCAACTAGTTTGGGATCTTTTATAGGGCTTTATGTAGAGTTGTCCTTCATAAGCAGGCTAAAAACTGATCAATTAGGGATTTGTTGGTTGGAATCTGGTTGGAATCTTATTACATTTCCTTATTCACAGGTGTATGAATATGAAGCAGTCCACTGTGTTAGATCAGTGGTAGCTTTTAATAAATGATAGCTTCTTCAATCTGTAGGTATAGTCTGCGTTTCATAGATCCCAGGTACCAACCTAATAAAACCTTCCTATCAGTACCTGCATTCCAGGCCATGGATATTTTTAGTTAACACTTCTTTATGGTTCACAAGAGAATTTTACATAATTCCAGCCTTCCATAATTCATAATTCCAGTCCATAATTCCATAATTCCAGTCATTATGGGATTCCGTAATTCCATAATGTCCAGTAAAAGAATTGGCTAATTGCTACTCCCATCGTTTGCCAATCTTCAGATAAAATTTTAGCATCTATAACAACGAGAAATTTGTGTAACTTTTTTATAAAGATTAATGTATATGTACTCCTTCATGGGTTTAGAATAAGAAAAAAAAATGGTGTCATCTTCAATGTTGAAAAATATGCCAGATCTTCAAACCAAAAGGCACTACATTTGGCCCACTGAGAACTAATTTATTCACCAAAGTCACCTCAATATGCCAGATTGAGTTCTTTGCTTCTAGGAGAATCCAAGATTTAAATCTACATGTAACAAACATATGATACCTAACGTTCACAGAGTGCCAAGAATTTACAAACTACATTTTAAAATAAGATCTCATTTTGATCCTAGATATAATGAAAACACACATCAAACTCTTTCATTCCCTCTTTGACTTCCCAAAGAGGGTCTTTAAAAAATATTCTAATGGATTATTTTCTTATTTTTTCTGTAAAGTCTTTATCACACTGAAAATTACAGTGTGATACAGTGGCATATATTATCATAATGTGATAATATATACTTGATTCTATATCATTTTTTAGTTAAATTTTCCCATATAAGCCTAGGAGGATTGAAGGAGATGTTATTTGTAAAGAGCCTCAACCTAGTGCCCTGGAATATAGACAGTTTGTAATAAATACAAATATCCTTAGTTGTTTCGATTTTGGTCACCTTCTTTCTAATACACCTGTTTTGTCCAACTTATCCACTTCTGCCAATTCCTAAAACATAAATTCAATCATGGTAATTTCACACTCCAACATGTGCTGTGGATCCTTCCTGCCTCTAAAGATGGGGCATAGCTTTCAAAGCCCTCTCTTTCATGCTTCCTCTTTACCATTGTGTTTTATCCAAACTAAACAACTTTCTGTTCAGGGTTTCTCTTAGCTTAGTAGCTTTGTTAACAATGTTCCCATCTACCTGGAATTATTTTACTAAATAATAATAAAAGTCAAATGCATGTTTGAGACCTAGCTCTATGAAATACTTCTACACTTCTTTTTTTTTTTTTTTTTTTTCTTTTTTGAGACGGAGTCTCACTCTGTCGCCCAGCCTGGAGTGCAGTGGCAAAATCTCAGCTCACTGCAACCTCCGACTTTTGGGCTCAAACGATTCCACTGCTTCAGCCTCTGGAGTAACTGGGATTACAGGCATGCACCACCATGCCCGGCTAATTTTTGTATTTTTAGTAGAGACAGGATTACACCATGTTGGCCAGGCTGGTCTCGAACTCCTGACCTCAACTGATCCACCTGCCTCAGCCTCCCAGAGTGCTAGGATTATAGCCGTGAGCCACCGCGCCTGGCCAATATGCTTATAATATTCCTACAGTTCTAACAGCCTTCACCTTCTCTGGTTCCAGGACCCTCTCGGTTCTTAGAGGACATACCTATAAGTTTTGAGCCTTAAAATTAATGGAGTACATACCTTAGCTCCATTATAAGATCATAAGCATATTTAGGATAAAGACTCCATCCCACTCACTTTTGTATACCCAGAAAGGGGTAAAATGCTTTTCACATAGTAAATGCTCCATAAATAGTTATTGAATTAACTTGGCAGAAACTATAGGAGCCATTGACCAGCTTCCTGCCCTATTCAGAAATCAACTCTACATCATTCCCCCTGTCCTGCCTGTGGCTAAAATACGTGCAAGCTCATGACTTCATGACATGGTGTTTTTCCTTGTTGAAAAATTGAAATTATTAGAAAATTTTCTTGTTTTGAGCTGAAATATTCTTTCCACTTCACTCTTACCTCTGCCTGTGGAATTGGAGTACTATTTTTTTTTCTTCTACATGCCAATCCTTGAAATGTTGATACGGTGCTCACCCTCAGCATTCTCTTATCATGGTGAACCTCACCGACCTTTCACCCCCACGTTGTGTTTTTTTTATATGGCTCCATTCTGGTCATCCTCTTTTTAAATGCTGCTCATTCTTATCAGTCTATTTCTTTCAATGTGGAACCCAGAACTGAGCAGAATACTGTGTGAATGATCTGACCAGTACAGAATGTGGTAGAAATATCATCTCCCTCGGTGCGGACACCACATTCCTATAATTCAGCCTACAACTTTAGCAGCCAGATTATGTGGTTAGCTCATAGTGAGCTTCAACAAATAATGATTTAATGAGTGCCTGTATCTGCCAGGCACCATAAGGACCCTCCACATGTTATCTCAGTAAAGTTTATAAAGCTCGATTAAAACTCCCATGTTCTTGTCAAACAAATTGCTGTCAAGAAAACATCTTCTGTCCTCAATGTGTATAATTGTCATCTCAACACAAATCTAAGATTTTTCATTTATCTCAGTTAAATTTTATTATTTTGGTATTGTCTCATCCCTTATCCCAGTTAAATTTCATTATGCTGGCTTTGCCTCATCCCTTTAACCTGTCAAGATCATTTAAAATTCTGTGTCTGGTGTCAAAGATAGCAGTCAGTTTTTTCCAGCTTTGAGTCAACTACCTTGTTGATAAGGAAGCCATTTAGTTTTCAGCTAAGACGTTGCTGAAAAAAGAAAAAAAGTGTTGAACTGAATGGAGCAGAGCCAAGGATGAAAGCTACCTCTCTAGACTCCTTCCTACAGATTTACAATTAGAATCCCTAAAGTAGGGCTCTTCTATAGCTACAAATTCATTAAAGATTCTAGCATTCAACCCACATTCTCCATCATAGTTAAAGGGAGCAGCATGAGCATTTTTAAAGTGTGATTTATATAATGATAGACCTCATGAAATAATGAGATTCGTTTGGCATGCAGCATGCTCACCACTTACTAGAAGTTCCAAACTACTAGTTTGGCAAAACTTTTTATGAAATTGTCCAGGGTTGAATAACAGTCTCATAAATCTTTGGATTCTATACTTTGACTTTTATCCATTTTTGAAAATTGGTCATTTGTTCATCTCTGATCTTGTGGGATTTACTCTGTTCACCATCATTTCCCAGTGATTACCCAGAATGATTTGTTTCACCTTTCAAATGTAATTCATCAGTGTTTGGACTGCTACATTCATTTAAACAGACAAAATGCTCTCATAATCTTTGCTCTTATTTTGTGCTTCAATTACCTCTTGATGGTGCTGTCCTTCCTAATGTGAAAATAATTTTCCCAGTGGAGAGAAATAAAAGCAAACCACCATTTTACCACATTTAACAATATATCATTGTTCCCAAGCGATGATTATATTCATCACTTTTAAAGTCTCATTTACTCCAAAAACAGTATTTATATCACATATACACATATTTTATGCGAAGACTTCTTTAATGTCCCTTAGTAAAGGTAAGAAGTGACAATTTCAGCCACTTGGTCCTTTTCTTAAAGATTATTGTTTCTCTTTTGTATTCAACCTTGGTTATATGTTCTTCCCTTCATATGTTGTACACGTTTTGTTTAAATCAGAGCTCATCAGAAAGAGAGCCCTAAGCAACTATGATGGTTTCCTTGGATACAGATTCTTTATTTTTCTCATCGATATCATTTGTGATTGTATTACCAGATTTTCAATTTTTACTTTCCATCTCCTTTATATTTTCTGCCCATTGAACCCCCCAGGGAGAAAATAATAGCTGTTGATTCTTAAATTGTTTTTCAATGGAATTACCTAAAACCTAAGGTGTACTTTAGTAGCCTTTTCTTGACCTCTAAAATGTCATGGATGCTTTCTCTATAAGTTTCCATTATTTCAGATTCAGGAATAAGCTCCTCTTTGCTGCTAAAGATTAAATCAAGAATAGAAACTTCAGAATGAGAAACTCCCTTCCTTGTTCTGTCTTCAATCTGAGGAATGCTGTTTCATCAAGATAGCACAATAATTTCAAATGCTTTCTATTAGGAGAAGGAGTTGTCGAGTTACATGCCCAGGTGGTTGAGATTTCCCCGAAATTGCTACTTTCACCACTTTATGATTTGTGTAATGCAACATCAGCATCATATGTGTACTTATTAGAAAAGTGAATTCAGGGCCTCAGACCGGACCTATGGGGTGAGAAGCTTTGGAGGTGGATCTCAACAATCTGTGTGTTAGCAAGTCCTTGAGATAATTCTCCTTCTCACTAAAGTTTGAGAAGCACTATTGTAAAGCATCATCCCTACATTCTGAGTGGGAAGCAATGCAATGTATTATCCCTTAGCCACTTACGTTGGCTCAGATATCTGTACCGATGTCACAATTTTCTAAGCAGATGCACATATACCATACATGCAGTATTCTTGCCTTTTCTATGGACATGCTTCTTTTGAACAGAGTCTTCTATATTACACAGTTGCATCCTAACACATTGTAGTAACTGTAAGATATTGAACTTCTAATGTTAAGTTGCCAGTGTTTCAAAAATATATTACTCAGGAGGCTGGGCGCAGTGGCTCATGCCTGTAATCCCAGCACTTTGGGAGGCCAAGGCAGGCAGATCACCTGGGGTCAGGAGTTTGAGACCAGCCTGGCCAATATGCTGAAACCCCATTTCTACTAAAAATACAAAAATTAGCTGGGTGTGGTGGCGCATGCCTATAATCCCAGGAGGGGATTACAGGAGTGCCTCAGGAGTCTGAGGCAGGAGAATAACTTGAACTGTGGGGGTGGAGGTTGCAGTGAGCCTAGATCGCACCACTGCACTCCAGCATGGGTCACAGAGTGAGACTCCCTCTCAAAATATATATATATATTTGTATATATTACATATATATATAAATAGATTACATATATTATATATATAAGTAGATATATAGATAGATGTATTTTACTCAGGCTCAGTGTATAGGTATGCAGATATCTGAGGCCTTTCCTATAGTCTGACTCATTCAAGATTGTTTTGCCTGAGAACTTCTTGGCACCCTCTCCACTATTGGTCTTGCCAGATGATACCAACCACCTATGCCTGCTCTCCTTGCTCCCAAACTCCTCTCACTCTGATCCATTCTTCTGTAAGTCGACCTAAAATACAGCCCTAATGATGGCATTTCCTTGCTGGAAACTCTGCTGATTTTTAACTCCTCACACTGGCATATGAGGCTCTCTGTAATGTTACTTCAACCATCCTCTCCGCACTTTCATTTCATGACTGCCTACTTTGTAGCACACTCTCCAATTCAATGGGATGGGAATGTGTGTTGTGCCCTGGACTTTTCTGCCCCAGGCCTTTTTTCATTCTCTTCCATCCTTTCAGCAGGCCATTTACCTTCACTTCCCCTGTTAAAATCTTTCACTTCACATCTCTTGGGTACCCCACCCTCACGAATCCTTTTTAATGTAACTTAGTTAAGTGTCATTCATCTTGCCTCCTCTCCCTCTGGTAAGCACCAAAGGAGCACAGAAAGTTATGCTTGATGTGCCTGATTACACACCACTTCTTACAATATGCGATTAGGGACTTATCCCTCTGTTAAAAAGGGACATGGATATATCCTTTATCCTTAACGGTATCTGTTGAATGGAAGTAAATATGATGCTGTAAAAATTCATTTAATCATTTCTTCTCTTTCCTTTTCCCCCTCCTAAAATTTTGTCAAATGATGTAGTTAATTTCAAAGTGCCTAAGTAGATTATAACTGCCAAATTATTTGAACTTAGTGATTTAACACAACCATGTGTTATCTTTTAGATGAAAGGCCCCTGGAGTATAACGTTCTTTTGATAAATCTAAAGTTAGTTGTTTATCTTTAGTTAGTTGTTCATGACTTATTTCCAAATGGAAACAGGTGTCAAATATTAATTTATGAAACTTAATGTTTAAAAAAGGCATAAATGTGTGTGGAGAGAGAGGGAAAGGAGAGAGAGAGCGGGGAGATGGAGGAGAAAGAGAGGAAGAAGGGAAGGAATGAGAAAAAAAGAGAAGAAATAATCCGCAAAGAATGATAAATCTACCTATGTTTTGGTCATAAAGGTCTTCAATATTTCTTTCCTCCTCTTGGTAATACTACTATACACTCAATTTAAATGGAAACATCACCTAATATAGGAAAAGAATTATTTTATTCTACACTAAAATACAGGTAAGTGCTAATTTAAGAATTATAAAAAAATGATACCATGTATTTGGACAGTATGTCCTAGAGTTGAGATTTTATGAATCATAAAAAGGCAAGAGATAAGGAAGCTGAATCTGAAAATAGGGGAAAATACTTAGCAATTAACCTTAGGATGAAATCTCTTTCTTGTCTTATCATTATCAATTCATATTTAAGTCTTAAATGGAAAATGACTTGTATTTAACCTTTTAAGATTCAGGGAACCATTTAATTGTAATTATAGCTAATCCAATTAAAGATGGATTATAATAACTGCTGAATTAATAGGTCATGAAATACTGAGTTTAATTAGTAGATTACTATTTATTTTGAAAAAAAGGAAAAATACTCTTTCATGCGCGTCTGTGTGAAGAGACCACCAAACAGGCTTTGTGTGAGCAACATGGCTGTTTATTTCACCTGGGTGCAGGTGGGCTGAGTCCGAAAAGAGAGTCAGCGAAGGGAGATAGGGGTGGGGCCGTTTTATAGGATTTGGGAAGGTAATGGAAAATTACAGTCAAAGGGGGTTGTTCTCTGGTGGGCAGGGGCGGGGGTCACAAGGTGCTCAGTGGGGGAGCTTCTGAGCCAGGAGAAGGAAATTCACAGGGTTAATCACTCAGTTAAGGTGGGGCAGGAACAAATCACAGTGGTGGAGTGTCATCAGTTAAGGCGGGGCAGGGCCTCTTCACTTCTTTTGTGATTCTTCAGTTACTTCAGGCCATCTGGGTGTATATGTGCAAGTCACAGGGGATGCGATGGCTTGGCTTGGGCTCAGAGGCCTGACATTCCTGCCTTCTTATATTAATAAGAAAAATAAAATAGTGTTGAAGTGTTGGGGCGGCGAAAATTTTTGGGGGGTGGTATGGAGAGAGAATGGACGATGTTTCTCAGGGCTGCTTCAAGCGGGATTAGGGGCAGCATGGGAACCTCGACTGGGAGACATTAAGCTGAAGGAAGATTTTGTGGAAAGGGGTGGTATTGTTGGGTTGTTAGAAGAAACATTTGTCATTTAGAATTATTGGTGATGGCCTGGATACGGTTTTGTATGAATTGAAAAACTAAATGGAATAAGAGAAGGAGAAAAACAGGTATAAAAGGTCTAAGAATTGGGAGGACCTAGGACATCTGATTAGAGAGTGCCTAAGGAGATTCAGCATAGTCCTGCCAGCAAAGATTATTTATTTACTTCAAGAGTTAAGAGTGGCCGTTTGGGGATAGCACGAGGAGATATCAGCTGTGATGGCTTGGAGAAACAGTGTGAACTGGCAGTGTAAACAAGAGCAGGGCATATATGAATAGTTGAGAACGGAGAATAGGAGTATGACTAGACAGAAAATAGTAGGGATGACAAGTTTTTTTGGGGGCACAGTCTAAGTTGGTCCGGTGTCTGGAATGAGACTGGGGCCTAATAAAAAGGAGCATCTATACAGGAGCTTAAATGGGCTGTAGCTTGTAGCATTCTGAGGACAGGTCTGACTTCTGAGAAGGGAAAGTGGTAAAAGTATTGTCCAGTCATTTTTAAGTTGGTGGCTGAGCTTGGTGAGGTGTGTTTTTAATAGACCATTAGTCTGTCACTGAATACTAAGAGCCTGAAAAAATGCTTGGCTGATTTGACTAATAAAGGCTGGTCTGTTATCAGACTGTATAGAGGTGGGAAGGCTAAACTGAGGAATTATGTCTGACAGAAGGGAAGAAATGGCTGCGGTGGCCTTCTCAGACCCTGTAGGAAAGGCCTCTACTTATCTAGTGAAAGTGTCTACTTAGACTAAGAGGCATTTTAGTTTTTGTGACTCAGGGCATGTTGAGTAAAGCTAATTTGCCAGTCCTGGGCAGGGGCAAAGCTTCGAGCTTGAAGTGTAGGGAAGGGAGGGGGCCTGAATAATCCTTGAGGAGTAGTAGAATAGCAGATAGAATAGCAGATGGAACACTGAGAAGTTATTTCCTTGAGGATAGATTTCCACGATGGAAAGGAAATGAGAGGTTCTAAGAGGCGGGCTAGTGGCTTGTATTATAGCATGGCCTGCCTTTGCTGGTGTGTGGCGATTAGGCCTGGTGGAACTGCCATCAATAAATCAAGCGTGATCAGGGTGAGAAACAGGGAAGAAGGAAATGTGGGGAAATGGGATGAACATCAGGTGGATCAGAGAGATGCAGTCATGGGGATCAGGTGTGGTATCTGGAATAATGTGGGAGGCTGTATTGAAGTCCGGGCCAGGAACAATGGTAATTGTGGGACTTAACGAAGAGTGAGTACAGCTGAAGGAGCCAGGGAGCAGAAAGTATATGCGTCAGGTGTGAGGAAGAAAATAGATTTTGGAAGTTATGAGAAATGTAGAGAGTGAGTTGAGCATAGTTTGTGATTTTGAGGGCCTCTAAAAGTATTAAAGCAGTGGCAGCCGCTGCACGCAGACATGATGGCTAGGCTAAAACAGTAAGGTCAAGTTGTTTGGACAGAAAGGCTACAGGGTGGGGTACTGGCTCTTGTGTAAGAATTCTGACTGCACTAACCATGCCTAGGAAGGAAAGGAGTTGTTGTTTTGTAAGGGATTGAGGTTTGGGAGATTAATCGGACACGATCAGCAGGGAGAGCACGTGTGTTTTTACGAGAATTATGCCGAGATAGGTAACAGATGAGGATGAAATTTGGGCTTGACTGAAGTAATGGGGTCTGTCTGTGAAGCCTTGCGGCAGTACAGCCCAGGTAATCTGCTGAGCCTGATGGGTGTCAGGGTCAGTCCAAGTGAAAGCGAAGAGAGGCTGGGATGACCCGTGCAAAGGAGTAGTAAAGAAAGCACGTTTGAGATCCAGAACAGAATAACGGATTGTGGAGGGAGGTATTGAGAATAGGAGAGTATATGGGTTTGGCACCATGGGGTGGATAGGCAAAACAATTTAGTTGATAAGGCATAGATCCTGAACTAACTTGTAAGGCTTGTCTGGTTTTAGGACAGCTAAAATGGGGGAATTGTAAGGAGAGTTTATAGGCTTTAAAAGGCCATGCTGTAGCAGACGAGTGATAACAGGTTTTAATCCTTTCAGAGCATGCTGTGGGATGGGATATTGGCATTGAGTGGGGTAAGGGTGATTAGGTTTTAATGAGATGGTAAGGGGTGCGTGATCGGTCACCAAGGAAGGAGTAGAGGTATCTTATACTTGTGGGTTAAGGTGGGGGGATACAAGAGGAGGACGCAAATGAAGCCTTGGATTCTGAAGAAGGGCGGCAATGAGATGCAGCTGTAGCCCAGGAATAGTCAGGGAAGCAGATAATTTAGTTAAAGTGTCTCCGCCTAATAAGGGAACTGGGCAGGTGGGGATAACTAAAAAGGAGTGCTTAAAAGAGTATTGTCTAAGTTGGTACCAGAGTTGGGGAGTTTTAAGAGGTTTAGAAGCCTGGCCGTCAATACCTACAACAGTTACGGAGGCAAGGGCAACAGGCCCTTGAAAAGAAGGTAATGTGGAGTGGGTAGCCTCCGTATTGATTAAGGGGACGGACTTACTTTCCACTGTGAGAGTTACTCGAAGCTTGGCGTTTGTGATGGTCTACGGGGCTTTCGAGGTGATCAGGCAGCGTCAGTCTTCAGCCACTAAGCCGAGAAGGAGTCGGTCAAAGAGCCTTGGGCCAGAATTCCAGGGGCTCTGGGAGTGGCTGCCAGGTGAGTTGAACACTCCGATTTTCAGCGAGGTCCTGCACAGATGGGACATGGCTTGGAGGAATCCTGGGCTGCAGGCATTCCTTGCCCTGGTGGTCAGATTTCTGGCACTTGTAGCAAGCTCCTGGGGGAAGCGGGCCTGGAGGAACGCCTGGCCGCTGCAGTTCAGGCGTTTGGAAGTTCTTGTGTGCTGGAGATGTGGCTGGGGTTTGTCTCACAGTGGAGGCAAGGAATTGCAACTTTTTTTTTTCATTATTGTACACCTTGAAGGTGAGGTTAATTAAGTCCTGTTGTGGGGTTTGAGGGCCAGAATCTATTTTTTGGAGTTTTATTTAATGTCAGGAGCAGATTGGGTAATAAAATGTATATTGAGAATGAGATGGCCTTTTGACCTTTTAGGGTCTAGGGCTGTAAAGCGTCTCAGGGTTGCTGCCGAACGAGCCATGAACTGGGCTGGGTTTTTATATTTGATGAAAAAGAGCCTAAATGCTATCTGATTTGGGATAAAGAAAAAGGAGCATTAACCTGGACTATGCCTTTGGCTCCAGCCACCTTTTTAAGAGTAAATTGCTGGGCAGGTGGGGGAGGGCTAGTCACAGAACGAAACTGTAAGCCAGACCAGGTGTGAGGAGGGGAGGTGATAAAAAGATTACAGGGTGGAGGAGCGGAGGCTGAGGAAGAATTGGGGCCTAGCTTGGCCTGGCGAGGAGGGGAGAGGTCAGATGGGTCTGTAGAAAAGGAAGATTAGAAAGACTCAGTGACGCTTGGGGTTGGGACTGAGGGGACAGGCGGGAGGGAAAGAAGGAAGATTTGGGACGAGTTGCACTGGGCACAGAGACTAGGAAGGGACTGATGTGTAAAAGAATGCCTGGACGTCAGGCACCTCAGACCATTTGCCCATTTTATGACAAGAATTATTTAGATCTTGTAGGATGGAAAAATTGAAAGTGCCGTTTTCCGGCTATTTGGAACTACTGTCGAGTTTGTATTGGGGTCAAGCGGCATTGCACAAGAAAATAAGACGCTTTGATTTTAGGTCAGGTGAGAGTTGAAGAGGTTTTAAGTTCTTAAGAATACAGGCTAAGGGAGAAGGAGGAGGAATGGAAGGTGGAAGCTTGCCCATAGTGAAGGAGGCAAGCCCAGGGAAAAGAGTAGAGACACGGAGAAGGGATGGGGGTTTCTTGCCCTCCAGAAAAGCAGAGAAAGTGTTGGGGCACGGAAATAAGGGATTGGGGCACAGAGATAAGAGGTTGGGGTGTGGAAATAAGGGATTGGGGCACAGAGATAAGAGGTCGGGGTGCGGAAATAAGGGATTGGGGGTTCTTGCCCCCTAGAAAAGTGGGACTTGCCACTAAGGGTGAAGGAGAAGGGGTTGAGGGGTACTTGCCCTTCCCCCAGAAAAGCGGGACTTGCCGCTAAAGGTGAAGGAGAAGGGGTTGAGGGGTACTTGCCCCTTCCCCAGAAAAGCAGAGAAGGGGTAGAGACAAGGAGAGAAGGGGTTGGGGTACTTGTCCCTTCCCCAGAAAAGCAGAGAAGGGGTAGAGACAATGAGAGAAGGGGTTGGGGTACTTGCCCCTTCCCCAGAAAAGCAGAGAAGGGGTAGAGACAAGGAGAGAAGGGGTTGGGGTACTTGCCCTTTTCCCAGAAAAGCAGAGAAGGGGTAGAGACAAGGAGAGAAGGGGTTGGGGTACTTGCCCTTTTCCCAGAAAAGCAGAGAAGGGGTAGAGACAAGGAGAGAAGGGGTTGGGGTACTTGCCCCTTCCCCAGAAAAGCGGGACTTGCTGCTAAGGGTGAAGGACCAAGGCAGGCGTCCCTGCGTGGTCTGACACCCTTGAAACGTGGGTGAATAATCAGGCGTCCCTGCAATGATTAAACACCAAGGGAAGGCTGCCTTCCCAGTCCGTGACCAGCGCCGGAGTTTTGGGGCAAGTACCCCAACCCCTTCTCTCCTTGTCTCTACCCCTTCTCTGCTTTCCCAGGTTTCAGCACCAAATTTCATGCGTGTCCGTGTGAAGAGACCACCAAACAGACTTTGTGTGAGCAACATGGCTGTTTATTTCACCTGGGTGCAGGCGGGCTGAGTCTGAAAAGAGAGTCAGCGAAGGGAGATAGGGGTGGGGCCGTTTCATAGGATTTGGGAAGGTAATGGAAAATTACAGTCAAAGAGGGTTGTTCTCTGGTGGGCAGGGGCGGGGGTCACAAGGTGCTCAGTGGGGGAGCTTCTGAGCCAGGAGAAGGAAATTCACAGGGTTAATCGCTCAGTTAAGGTGGGGCAGGAACAAATCACAATGGTGGAGTGTCATCAGTCAAGGCGGGGCAGGGCCTTTTCACTTCTTTTGTGATTCTTCAGTTACTTCAGGCCATCTGGGTGTATATGTGCAAGTCACAGGGGATGCGATGGCTTGACTTGGGCTCAGAGGCCTGACATACTCTTTCTAAGGTATTATGTGAAAACTCTAAAATTTTCATCTAAAAATTATGGAGATTGCATTATTAGAAGAAAGAGGAGACAGAGGAGAAGGAGGAGGAAGGGGAGAAGAAGGAAAAAGGAACAGCATAGCATGAAATTTAGGAAAAAAATCTGAGTTCTTACTTTTATTTTTTTCTTTAGTTTAAATTATTTTATATTTGCAATCCTGGAAGAAGAAATAATAGTAACTGTTTAATTCCTTATTTCACTAGACAAATTAAGATTGTTAATACGTACGCTCACAGAACAAAAAGTAATAATTAAATGACAGTTTTAGTCTTTAAAAACTACAAATCACAGTGCAATACAATCTAAATCACTTATAGACATTTTGCATCTATTTGTTTTATATTTAGGGAAAATAATACAGTTGCAGTTAAATTAAGCTAAGTGACCTATGCTAGGGTCAGGCGAATTATTTCAATATTCGTCTTTGTTAATTTGTTTTTAGAAAAACTGCGGTAAGAAATACAAATGTAAATGACTAAAAACAAAGACTTGGCATGACAAATAATTCCACAAGTAAAATTAAAGGACTGTTTTATGATGTATGTACTGTAGATTATGCAGTGTTGTGGGCCTCAATCTTGCTTGCTAGTCACACAAACATATACAAAGGACCTTGCTCCCACAGATGTACACATTTAGTCCAAATCCTCAAACTGGGAAGTCCTGGAGCAACATCAGCAACTCCCTCACCATAAATATGGCATTTCCTTAATTCTATGCTGCACTATTTTCATATTTAATATTTCTGAAATCTGGATTCATCTTAGAATTGAAATGTAAGAATGCATGTGGGGTCCTCAAACTCTTGTTCCACTGCATGGGGAATTTTTCAGGTTGACATAAACTAAAGTAGTATTAAAACCCATCCCTCTAAGAGTGTCTTTTTTCCTTGGATGGCCCAAAAACTATGTACATCATGGTCAGAAAGGTATTTTTCTGAGGATATTGCTCTTTTTTTTTTTTTCTATTAAACATGCTGGTAAAATGTGTCAGAGTATACTGCTTTCTACTCTTATAAAATAACCCGTGGGTTATATTTTCAAGATGACAAAAGCTATTTAAATGAGATAGTTAGTGGACATTTTTAAAAAACTGAAAATCAATCCAGAATATGTGCTTGAGGAACTCTCAGGGAACCAATTCGAAGATTTGCACGAGGATCCCAGGATTCCTAGTCATTTTTTCAGCCTTGGGCCATGTAGGTACACAGAAACATAAACTGGCACCAGAGCTAGAATACCTAATTTAGGGGCCCCAGGCCAGGGGGTGTTAAGATTGCTGGGTGCTCAACACTCTCCTATGGGGCACCCAGGCATGTCCCAGAGGAAATGTGTGGCTACTGAAAAGTGCACTGTGGTTGTATACATCAGATGCACAAGTAACACAAAAGGCACCACATGTGCCACACACTGGAGAGTTTTGCTACCTCCCCGGGGGAAGCCAAAATGCGCCGCTGCAGCACTTGGAATGAAAATGCATTTTCTGTGAGCAACAGCCTCCTTTGAAGAAACTGCTTTCTCTTTCAACATTTGGAAGCTGCTTGGCAACCCACAATCAAGGTTTTCGTTATGTTGTTTTAAACAGGCCCATTATCAGTGTCTCATCTCTCTGAAAGCTTCAGACTTCATCATACTGTTTTTAAAGATTAACATATTATACCTGATAAGCTTCTAAAACTTGCAGCCTTACTAAAGCTGACTGTTCCAGCACTTTCTTCCTATTAAAAGTGAGTTGCACAAGAATTAAAATAGATACTGTTTGTCTACTCTTTTCTTGCGATAAGAAGGCAACACTTCACTTGTTCTGATGTTCATTTTCTATCCGTACATTCAGGAATTCATTTTTAAGATGTCCTTTCTTTTGTCAAAATGTTAGATCTGTGCAAGAATTTATAAAGGAAAATCATTTCAGACATGTTTGTAATAGGCAATATTAAAAGTAAATTTGAAGGCTACAGTGACTTATTGCAATATTTTGTTTGTCAATAGTCTAATTAGAAACTAAGAATATTCTTATATTCGACTAATGCTGATTTGTTACCTCACCTGTCAATTCTTACATAGTATAAAAGTAGATTTGGAAAAACTGAAAATAAATATATGTATAGACATTGAGCAAAAATAGCATTTTTAGCTTCTTGAAAATTGTAGGCTTTATCTGTAATGGCAAATTTTAAAAAAATTGTGACAGATGCAATTTATTTGGACCTAAGTTTAATGAGTGAAAGGCTGAACTTATGTAAAATACTAAAAACTACAGTGCCCTAAAATCTAAAGTTGCAATGGCAAATCAAGATTGGAAATATTAATTATCACTACCTTGCACAGTAGAATTGTGTGACTTAGGGCTAAGAAAAGCTACAAAAGAGCCCAGAACTACATATCTCAAAACTTTAAATTAATGGGTTTCCAAAGAGGAGTTATGTAGCACATAAAAATTAAAATTAAGATTAGAAGAATGTAATAGTGTAAGTTGAGTAGATAGAACATTTCTTACGTAGTTTTAAGGATTTCTGCTAAGCTTTGACTCATTGATAGCAAGAATAACACACAAAGTAATATTATTACTTAAAATTGTCACGACTTATTGAACTAACTTATTTAAGATTTAAGCTACAAAGATTGGGCCTTTCAGTTAACATAAAACAAACAGTTACATAATTGTACTGTTGCTCAATTTTTGACTTTAGACATAGTCAGCTCATGTTCTTGTCATGTGTTGAAGCACAATTTTTCAACGTTAGCCCCAAATCATAGTTCCATGCCAGCAAGTGAGGTTTCCCCAAAATAAAGAGGATTTCTCATCCAGTTTGAACAAAAAATAGCTACATTGTTGATTTGTTGAATGTTTTTCAAATGCAATAATTTTTACATTTTGGATTTAGAGAAGAGAGAAGTAGGAGAGAAGGCAGGAAGGGTAACACTTAAAGACAGAAGGGCAAATATTCTAACACCATTGAGTGTTCACTCAGAAAACAGCAATGAATTACGTGGCCTGTGATATTTAATGAGCCCTGTATAATTTGCTCTATTATTAGTCAATATTTGGCTTTCTGTGAGCATTTACAAAATTATACCTTGATGAACAATAGGTCAAGTCAGTTTTTCCTTCTTGCTGACAGAGAATCATTGAATCTTTTAAAAATTGTCAGAGGTGATCCAGATGTCATTAGTGCACTAGATTCTTTCATGACTTGGGGAGGAGCCACAGACTCTCATCTGTCAGAAAGCCTGGTGGAGGGATGAGTTGCTTGGCACTAATAATCTCATTCATGTACTTAGTGTTACAGCTGTCTAAATAAGAGTGCTTTACTGTTCTTATATTGGCACATAATTAAATATCAGTTCTAAGTTACATAGCAAAACAACAAAATTCTAAAACCCAAAGCAAAAATTAACTTCTATATTGAAATACTTGAATTGCCTGAAGTGGGAGGAAGGGCATTATTTTACAGCAGCCAAAACAAGCTTTTGTTTGTTTGTTTGTTTGTTTTGTTTTGTTTTTGTAGTTAGAAGGCAACTCCACGTAGTGAAGAAGGACAGGTTTTGGAGTTTAACCAACCTAGGTTTTACCACCTTGAGGAATTTACCCTGTCTCTCTGAGCCTCAGTTTCCTAACATGACTGTCAGAGGGAACAAGATCATGAATGTAAAACATCAAATATCCTAAGTGTTAGTCATTTCTCCTTCTTTCTAGTTGCAAGTATGCCTTACTTCCTTCATACCAAATGTAATTACCATAGCAGTGTCTAGAATGTGTCAAGTTGTGACATGAAACCTAAAAAATACAGTCAGTATCTTTAGTTTGGGACTGACAGTTTTAATTGTCATGTTTTATTGTTCCCTTACACATCTTGATATTTTTTTCTGACATATATCATACAATATCTTTATACAAATATTTTAATGTATTTGAGATATCAAAATAATTTGTAATATTTTCTGTTATGTAACCTGTCATCATATAGACTTGGCAGATGTATTAGCAATTAAAAGCATTTCCATAGAAAAGAAATGGTAAGTTATTCAGACTGTACTTTTCCCCATCACTTCATTAATTAGCACAGCATATTAAGGATCTATTTTATGTAGAAAGTAATATGCAACTAAATGTAATGAGCAAAGATTTTAAAATATTTCAGAAAACGGTAATTCATGGTGCGTATTATTTTTACCACTGGGTTGATACATGTGCTTTTTATCTTTTTCAAATATCTGAATCATCAACTGAATTTTTCACTTGCATTTGAGTATATCCACTTATTGGTATATTTTCAAAAAACAAACTTTTGTTTCTTTAACTTTTATTTTAAGTTCTGGGGTACATGTGCAGGATGTGCGGGTTTGTTATATAAGTAAACGTGTGCCGTGGACATTTGCTGCACAGATCCACCCATCACCTAGGTGTTAAGCCCAGCATCATTAGCTATTCTTCCTGATGCTTGCCCTCCCGCCATTCCTCTGACAGGCCCCAGTGTGTCTTGTTTCCCAACATGTGTCCACGTCTTCTCATCATTCAGCTCCCACTTATAATTGAGAACATGTAGTGTTTGGTTTTCTGTTCCTGCGATGTTAGTTTGCTGAGGATAACAGCTTCCAGCTCCATCCATGTCCCCGCAAAAGACATGATCTCATCCTTTTTATAGCTGCATAGTATTCCATGGTGCTTATGTACCACATTTTCTTTATCCAGTCTATCATTGATGGGCATTTGGATTGATTCCATGTCTTTACTATTGTGAATAGAAACAAACTTTTATTAAACCTGCTTTCTCTTAAATACTTTATTTTTGCTTGAATTTAAATGAAATTAGTAGTTAGCTTCACTTTAAATTTAAGGATATTCTTGATGATCTTAAAAATCAATCTGTTAAAAAGATGTCTAAGTGGAAAAACCCAATATTATTGCTTATAATACAAAGATATTTATATTTCTATATGTTTTTTAAAATTATGAAATAGTATATTTTTATTAGAGTTGAGCTGAATGTTATTTGAACTCAGAGATGAACTTTATATAATAGCTTAAAAATAATTGTATGTTTTACTTGTTTATCTTCTCCCTGTAACGTTTATTTTAAGATCTCACTTCTAGTTTAAAATATTCGATTAGATGTAAGATAAGAAGGGAAATTTCACAAACCTTTGGGACACACTGGATTCCAAATGTCTTCCCATCCAGCTGAGAAAACTTTTAAAAATATAATTCTGTTCTATATAATTTCATACAAGTGTTGTTGTTTGGGATGAGGAATGGTAATGGATCTTTTGTGGTATCCTTTCCCAATTAATTAATGCCTCTTTTAGGAGAAGTTTGGTCATAAGAGTTTTACAGAGAACATAAGGCTCTGCTAGCCAATGGAGGAGAGTTAATTCTGGGTATACAATAGACAAGTAATTAAAGGGGACAAGAGGCAAAACAGTTTTGCGGAGTGACTAATACCCACTCTTTCCAAGGGACATGGTAGAGGAGCAATGAGGACAAATTATGGAAATGAGGCACCCTTGGCTTGTGACAAAACTCTGAAATATTGGAAGAATGTTTCCTCTTAGTTTTATGATCAGTATGAATTACTCCTCTGTCCTTAAATGTTTAAACTCCATTTGCCAGGTGTCAGCCAGGAAACCCATTTTTAGCTGCTAATTTGTGTTTTCTGTCATCTGAAAATTTTTTATAAGTGTACAGTCTGTTTCTCTGAGGTTGACCACATAAATTTGAAATAATTGCTGATCTTATCCATCCAGAAGATCCTGGCAGTTTCACAACTGTATAGGGGATCCAGATATTCCTCTCAGGAGTCTTAATTTGACCCAGAGAAGGAGCAACGCATCCAGATCCACAGAAGAAAGAATGGAGCATCCATCACTTCTGCCAGGCCTTTGTCAGGTGACCCTCAGAGCCCCATTAGAATGTCTTCTGTAGGGAAAAGCTTGACTACATTCTTGGGTTAAGAAAAGGTGATGCTGTTTATAACTGCTGAGACAGGGGGCTGAGAAAGAGTTGGATATATCAGTCTAAATGAAACCATAAATTGAATAGAGCATGAATGTTTACCCCTGTGGTCCTATACCCACATTCCCTCCAATTTTCAGACTAGACATTCATTTTTGTAATGATTGCATTCATGCATGTTTATCTTAAAGTGGTAGAAATCAGGTGATTGATTAAATCCAAATGCTCTGGATGAGATTTGTAACCCAGCAGCACTGCAGACTCAGACTGCTTCAGTTAGGAAAGAGTGAAAGGTGCATTAAGAGAAGCAGCTGATCAGTTCTTGGCAGGCAGAGTACTGCTGAAGTAACAATTTGCAGTAGTTTTGCACTCCTGTCAGTGCCAGTTGGCAAACTAATGGAGATGATGGAATGAAAGAACAAAATGTCACAACAGAAAGGAGTGAGTTGAAAATTCAAACATTTTCTTATTTCTCATAATCCTGCTCAATCAAAATGAAATCAGCATCAGTCTACAAATGAACCAACTCAATAGTGAATAAGAGGCAGCTATCTGCACATTTTTTTTCCAAGTAGGAAAATCGATTAACAATATTGTGACCATTAGCTTGTTCAAAACATCATCATGGTTTGTAATAACTCAGAGGACTAATTTATAAACAAGAATATTGATTTTAACAGAGTAAGTTTTAGTTGAGAATAGCAACTGATACAGATGTTGAAACTTTACATTAAGGATTCCGATGTTGGGTTGTAGTGGAATATCAGTGCCAAGGCAGCAAAGTCAATTTTAAACTATTATTTTGCTAATAGTAAATATAATGCAACTCCTATATATCCTCCTAATATAGATCATCTGGATTTACTATGTAATCTTTGCCTGACACTGCAGACTACACTATGAAAACCAATTCTATGTACACATTACAAATCATATTTTTAACTTCAAAGATTTAAGTGTTATTGACTTCCCATGGTTCACTCAGTTTTAATTGTTTTTGTAATCTAGATCGATTACCTCAATTTTTGACTCTAGGAAAAAAAACATAAACTTATTTATCAAAACAAGTAGGAGAAAATCAAATTAGCACATCATATCAGAAGTACAGCACAAGATAACTAAATGTGAAAAACAGATGCTGCCAAACATCATAAATATCACCCCAGTAAATACACTGAAGAGTAGATCCTTTTACTTCAGCTGAACTATGAAACAGCAGCCATTAACACATCAAGAATGAACTACAACTTGCCAAAGGTTGAAAAGTAATTTTCTCCTTAATATGATTTTAGAGTGCAGCAATGTGGTGGCTTATTCATTTTTCTCCCATTGGGTATACAGGATAAGTTGTTTTAATATTCACATGAAAATAGATAAATAACTTTATTGCATGGCTGCTATAGAGCTCAGAGCCAAAGTTGTGTGCCTTGTTATTATTACAAATACATCTTAATATATGCTTCCTAATTGCATTTCTGGTTCAAATCTGATTTTTATATTCTCACTTTACATTTTGCTATTCTGTTATGTTTTTCTGTATTTATAAATGATTGAATCACATTGAATAATGTAGGATTATAGCTGTGTCAATCTGTTAGTGCCTGATAGTATTTTAAAGGCATTGATTACAGGGTATTTTATTTATATGTAGTGTTATCCTGCATATTTATTTCATAAAGGTAATCTTCTAATTACTTATTATTCTACACTAAATTAGTCTTTGGACCAAGCAGATGTGCACGGTTAATTTCATAAACAGACTTGGTAAAATGCAGTCTGTTTCATTGCCCCGTTGATCAGTACCGAAGCCGTATAATGCAGTACCATACACCATATTTAAAATACCTTAAAAATCATATTGTTCTTTGGCAGAATTAAGCCATTCCTAAAGGAGAAAGGCCTATCCCATTCTTAAGAAAAGAAAAACTGCATAACTTATCACCTGAATATTTTCTGAAACCTTAAAATAAAGCTTCTACATTGGCAGAGTCTAAATTCCTCTGACATCAGTTTCAGCAGACTGGAGGTTAGCTATTACACGCCAAAATATTTCTCTTGTATATTTCCTGTTGGAGTAAGTCCTGTTACTAAGTACCTTTTTTTAGCATTAAGAAAATCAAATTCTGTTTTTGCTTTTTCACTGGTGAATAGAGGGGTTGGGATGAAGTATGGCCATATTTTTTCCATTGAGTTTTTTTGACAAATAATAATTATGTATATATATGGGGCACATATGACACCTTGATATGTTTATAAAGTGTAATGATCAAATTATAGTAATTGGCATATTCATCACCTGAAATATTTATTATTTCTTTGAGTTGGGAATATTCAAAATTCTCTCTTCCAGCTATTTTAAAATGTACAATAAATTATTGTTAACTAAAGTCACTCTATTATGCTATAGAACACTAAAATGTAATCCTAATATTTAACTGTAATTTTGTACTCCTTATCCATCCAGCATTTCTTTCCTGAAGATAAATGCTGTAAGAATTTTTTTTGCTGAATCTTCTTTTCTGAGAAGTTTCTCTCAGCAATTCTCTCCTATGCTTGTTGTTTCCTACAGGCAGTTTATACTCCATTGAGCTATGAGTTTATCTTTGTAATTCCAAAATTTGATTGTGTTACTGTTCTGCTAGAAAAATGACAACTGTCTAATCCATGACCAGATGAGAGCTAAAACCCTTAGTGTGGTGTGGAATCTTGCTATTCAGGTGTGATCCTAAAACCAGCAGTATTACCATCACCTGCAGTCTCCTTTCAGAGGCAGAATGGCAGGCCCAGCCATGACCAACTGAATCAGAATTTAAATTTTAAGATCACCCAGATGATATATTTTCATTTAAAAGCTGAAGCCCTAGTTCCAAAGACCACTCCAGTTTAGCCTTATCTTGCCCCTATAGCCTGGTCCTTCCACCTCCTCCTTCCCCTCCTTCTACTTTGTCTCCACTGGCTCTCCCTTCTCTAGGCTCACAATGGACTTTTCCTGCCTCTAGCTCTTTATGTACAAAGTGACCTCTGTCCAGAATTTCCTTTCCTGACCTAAGAAACTTCTACATAGTTGTTATGACCGAGACCAGATATCCTCTCATCTGGAGTTTCTTTTCAAACTATGGCATCTGACAAATTACAATTATTTGGTTCTGTCCTCTGCTTTATAGCACATTTTGCTTCTATCTTCTTAGCGCTGATTGTGTTGTTAGAATTACCTGCTAACATGTCTCCTTCCCCCACTAGACTCGGTGTATGTTTGTTTTTTTTGTTTTCTTTTGTTTTGTTTTTCCTCTTCTCTGATACTTAGTAGAGTTCAGGTACATAGTAGGCCCCTAGAAAAATGTTTGTTCAGGCTGGGTGTGGTGGCTCACGTCTGTAATCCCAGCACTTTGGGAGGCTGAGGCAGGCGGATCACAAGGTCAGAAGTTCCAGACCAGCCTGGCCAACATAGTGAAACCCCGTCTCTACTAAAAATACAAAAATTAGCTGGGCATGGTGACGCCCACCTGTAGTCCAGCTATTCGGGAGGCTGAGGCAAGAGAATCGCTTGAACCTGGGAGGCGGAGGTTGTGGTGAGCTGAGATTGTGCCATTGCACTCCAGCCTGGGCGACAGAGCGAGACTCCATCTCAAAAAAAAAAAAATGTTTATTCAATAAATTTATGAAAGAGTGGATACTATAACAGATCTCTACATTTTGCTCAAGGCAAATAGAAACAAGCATTGTCACCCAAAAGACCACAAGGATGGTAAATTGGTAGAAAGGAGAGTTTTATTGGCGTTATCAATTTCCAAGCTGGGAAGAGAAAGTCTCCACAAGGCACAAAGGTGCTCTCTCTTCAGAGAGGGGAAGAACAAGTTGGATTTTATGCCTCACAGGGCCAGTATCATACATATTCAACAGGTTTAGGGGAAAAGCTGTATATATTTATGAGCAGTGTTGAGCACACGCACAATAGGTAAACATGCATGTAATGTACATCCCATGTTCACTGTGGGGTGGGGTTTGAGCATTAAAAGAGGTGGAATTTCGCTCTTTCCATGAAAAGGTGAACTATAAGACCCAAAGACAGTTTGTGTGCAGCCTCTACAAACTGGCTGAAACTGGCTTAAGGTCTGCCATAGCTTTTCAGAAAAAAAATGTAAGGCCAGTCCTCTGTTCAGTCAGGGTTGTAGTGGTCTGGGTAGTAAATCAGCCTAATAGCTCCTACTGTTAGGGTATTTAGCAGGGCTGTGGTTTGTCTTATGGTGGTAGAAATTTGGAAATTTGCCCTACCAGCCAAGCCCTGAGCCTTGACCCATAGGAAACTTTTGTTTCCTTAACTTAGGGACCATCTTAATTGATAAAGAGATGTCTATTTCAGTTTTTCCTATCATAATATTTACTAGAGAGCAGTTTAAGCAATTTCCTGTGTTATTCTCTAGAACAGGGTCCAGAAATTACTCAGGACCAAGTTCAGGGCTCAGCCACTGTAATTTAACCCAGGTTGGCTTTAAAAATTAGCTGTTGCAGCAAAGTTGATAATGTTTCTTAATAAATTCCACCTACGATTGAAGGCATACAACACCTACATGTGAAAACTACACTGCTGTCAATTCATTTAGAGGACAGATGACATTGTTTGAATCACAAGTAATATCAAGCTGCATTAGAAACAAACTCCCTCCCTGTACTGTCAAAGTTAAAGCAGGAAATGAAACCTCCATTCTCACACAGATTTATGAGGGATGTATTGTCTGAGGTGAAACCCCAAAGTAAATGCAAAGGAAATTTTTCTATTTTAAAATGCATATAACTGTGTGATTGTGGGCTTCCACTTAACTTTCAATTGGAAGTCATTGGTCTACAATTTAAAGACATGCTAAAAGGCATATATTGAGAGATGAATCTAGTGGAATTCTATGAATTCCTTCCAAGTGACAAATATACTCAACTAAAATCATATGCTCATGAATTTATGTAAGTCTTTAGCACTACCTATCTGGTTGGAAAAACATATTCAAAGATGTAAGAAACAAAATCTTATTACAGAAGAACATTTGCAATTAATTTCAATGATAAAGAATACTAACTTTGAACCTCAATTATGCAAAATGTTATATACTCCCCAAAGAATTTCATTTTCTCACTAGTAGATTTGTATTACACAATATTCACTCCATTTTTACTATTATATTTTGGATTTTATCAATAACAAATTTGTGAAAATTAGTTTGGTATCTTGTCACATAAGTAGTTGGACAACATACTTGATTTTGCCCCTTGGCCCACAAAGCCTAAAATATTTATTCATTGGCTTCTTACAGAAAAAGTTTTCTGACTTCTAGAAACAAAAGCAGAGATTAAACATTCAAAACAATAAATATGTATTTATTAAAGGTATATTTATAAGCTCTGAGAATAAAGTAGAGACATTTTCACCAATTCAGAACTTGTATTGTCAAGTAGTATGCTTACCTATTTTCTAAATAATTTGGTAAAATATATAACAATAATATTGGTATATATTTAAAATATGTATGTGAATTACTTTCTGAAATTGGCATCAGAATAAAGGGCTATGAAAATTATATGGGACCTCAGGTGGAAATCTACATATAAAGTATTTTCATATCTGGACAGCTCAGGTCTAGCTCAGATTTACTTACTTTATGGACATTTTACATCTGCTGTACAAAGAAATTTGGTCTTCAAGGAATTTGTCTTGTCAGGTAGCAAATTGTTATAATTTTTTAAAAGCTGAAAACTGCCTTCATATTTAGGTGTGCTGAATACACTCTCAGTTCCTGAGACAACTTCTGTAATTAAACCGGCAAGTATCTCTTCACTGTTTACTGTACACTTCACATCACCCATAGAGGCATTTCTGAACACACAAGGAGGGCACTTCAGAGCTGGAGAAAGGGGAAATTCATTTTGTCACACTGTGACTTATATATACTTTTTAAAGACAAAGCAATTTTCTCTGTCGAAACTTTGATTCTTTTAGAGCTATTATGGAGGAGTAGTTACATCATTCCCAAAATTTTTACTGCAAAGTGGTTGCCTGTTAGAAACACAATCCTTACAGAACTCTCAAAAACTGGCAGTTGCTGTAGGTAGTCAATTGAAGAGGATCAAACACATCTGTTGGCATATCCATCTGTTACCAAAAAATCTCTAGTCTAAAATTCTTGCTAAAAAAACTTCCATTTTGATTAGAACATCACTGAGAAGCTTACAAAATTGAGACTGAAAGTCATTACCTTTATGGAGTAAATCATAAGGAAATAAAAACAAATGTCTCTCAAGTAGATTAATTTTATTCCAAATCTATTTTTTTTTTTAATTAATGGAACTGTTACCAGTGGAGGGTATCCAGATTCTTGGCATTTGGAACAAAGAATTAGGTAAAGCCCACAAACAAAGCAATGAAAGAAAAGCACCGATTTATTGAAACAAAAGTACACTCCACAGAGTGGGAGCGGGCTTGAGCAAGTGGTTCAAGAGCACTGGTTATAGAATTTTCTGGGGTTTAAACACCCTCTAGAGGTTTCCCATTGGTTACTTAGTGTACACCCTATGTAAATGAAATAGTGATCAGCAATCAGAGGCTGAAGTGATGTTACAAAGTTATACTTCTATGCAAATGAAGACTTGGCCTGGGACCAGTCTGATTGGTTGTGAGATAGAAACCAATCAGAGGTCCTTTCATCTGCCATGCAGAAAAGTGGGGGGTGGGGAGGTGGAAAAAGAGTCACATATGGTCCTTTTGTTACTTGGGCATGGAAAGTTGGAGTTTTCATTTTGGAGTTTGGAGTTCTAGGAAGCTAGCCTTAATCAGCCTTAGGTTCTCTGCCTCCAGACCCTATTCTCCTTCCTCAGAAACAAAAAATTTTCTTTTTAACTTAAGTACTTCTCACTCATTGTTTTTCCTTTCCCCAGTGTTCTATTTGGATCCCATTAAATAAATTACCATCTTACTCACTTGAGGAATCTTTTACTTCTACCTAGTAGTTAACCTACTACCAGTATTTTAAATTTTTATGCCAAATTTATGTGAGCACATAACAGTATATACCAGTATGATATTAAATAATTTTAAGTCTACTTATCATTGAGTTGATTATAGGTCTCAGAAATAAATTCTAGTATCACGTATAGTTTCTGAAAATTATCCTTAAAGGTAGCTATTCATAACTCTGAGAGAGCACTGTGCTTTTGGAAGATTTCTGAAACAGTCTTTTTACTACATCTGATTACAGACATTCTGTTATAGCCTCCATCTATCAGTAATCACATTTTAAGGTATCATTTGTCAAGAAAATAATTGGTCAAAAACATTACAAATATCAAACATCTATTGAAAATATATACAGCAGTACTTATTAAAATGGTGCTGTTAGATAACAATGAAAATAAGAAAAATACGTTTTTGAAAAAATAGCTATATAAATAAGATGTCATTGTTCTGAATGACTATTGAGCCATAGATGTTTGATCTCTTGCTTAAAAGGTTTACAAACTCTTATCAGCAATCATAAGTAACATGATGCACTGAGATTTAGCATTTTTAATAATCCTGATCTTGATTCTTTAATTTCTTACGTCATGACAAAGGCAGCAGTCTTAATTTATATAAAAAGATTTCTAATACATAGGTCTCACATCTCACAAAGATTCAGACCAGCTCTCAGAGAATACTTTTTAAAATACAAGTAGTTACATTTTAAATAAAATTATTTAGCTGTTTTGTCAATCTTTTCAGATTGTTAACAACTTGAACAAAACTACAAAATTATTTCCTTTATGGTTATATCCAGTGACTAATATTAGTATATATTCTTTTAGCAAAATATACTAACTTAACCATATATTGAATTGATTCATTTATTTTCATTTTGCTTACTAAATAACACTAGGCAAATCTTGTGATTTACTCTGTCTTAGCAAGTTTCACGTATACAATACATTATTATTAAGTATACTCACGATGCTGTACATTTTGTCTCTAGAACTTATTCATCTTATAAACCAAAATTTGTACTCTTTGACCAACATCTCCCCATTTCCTCAGTATCTCTCCCCACTCCGTAATCACACTCTGCTCTCAGTTTCCATGAGTTTGACTCTTTAGATTCCACATATGAGATTATATAGTATTTGTCTGTGTATAGCTTATTTCACTAGGCATAATTGTCTCAAGGTTCATCCATATTGTTGCAAATGGCAAGATTTTCTTCTTTTTAAGTCTGAAAAAAATATTTCATTGTGTTTATGTGTATCACAATTTCTTTATCCATTCACCTGTTGATGGACACTTCAGTTGTTTCCATGCCTTGTCTACTGTGAATAATGCTGTAATGAACATGGAAGTGCAGATAGTTTATGAGGTGGTGGTTTAATTTCCTCTGGTATATACCCAGAAGAACAGATTGATGGATCATATAGTAGTTCATTTTTATTTTTTTAGGAACCACCATACTATTTTTCCATAATGTCTGCACCAAATTAAGTTTCCACCAACAGTCTATAAGAGTTCCCTTTTCCCCACATCCCTGGCAACACTTATCTTTTGACTTTTTTATAATAGCCATCCCAGCAGACGTGAGGTGATACTCATTGTGTTTTTCATTTGCATTTCCCTGATTAGTGATGTTAATCACCTTTTCATATAACTGTTGACCATTTAGATGTAAGCTTTCGAATAAATGATGGCCTTTGCCCATATTTTGATTGAGTTTTTTGGGGGGTTTGTTTTTGATTTTTGCTATTGAGTTGTAGAGTTCCTTATATATTTTGAATATTAACCCCTTCTCATATACGTGGCTGGCAAATATTTTCTCCCACTCCATATGTTGCTTTTCACTTTGTTGATTGTTTCATTTGCTCTGTAGAAACTTTTTTGTTTGATGTAATTCCACGTGTTTATCTGACTTTTGTTGCCTGTGCTTTTGGTGTTCTATCCAAAAAATAATTGCCAAGATGCCAAGATTGATGTCATACAGCTGTTCCCTGATGTTTTCTTGTAGGAATTTTACTGTTTCAGGTCTTATGTCTAAGTCTTTAATCCATTTTGTGTATTCTTGGAGCTTTTGCTGAAGATTAGTTTGTCTTATATACATAGGTTTATTTCTTGGCTTTCTATTCTGTTCTATTGATCTATATGTCTCTTTTTATGCCACTACCATGTTGTTTTGATTACCATAGCTTTGTAGTATACTTTGAAGTCAGGTAATATGATGCCTTCAGTTTCATTTTTTCTTACTCAAGGTTGCTTTAGCTAATTAGAAACTTTTGTGGCTCCATATGGATTTTAGGAATTTTTTTACCTGTGAGAAAAATGCCATTCAAATTTTGATAGGGATTGCATTGAATCTGTAGATCACTTTGGGTAGTATGGACTTTAAAAAAATATTTAGTTGACAAAGATTATATATAGTCAGCTATATAGTGTGATGATTTGATATACATATACATTGTTTGATGTTTATCACAATAATATCAATTAACACATTCATCATCACCCATGCTTTACATGAGAGCCTCAGGACTTGTTTATCTTATAACTATCAGTTGGTAGTATTGACATTTTGACACTTTATTATTTCACTTATTTGTGTCTTCTATAATTTCTTTTATCCATGTTTTATGTGTTCAGTATATAGAACTTTTACCTCCTTGTTTAAGTTTATTTACAAGTATTTTATTCTTTTAGATGCTACTGTAAACAGAATTGTTTTCTTAACTTATTCATCATTAGAGTGTAGAAACTCAAGTAATTTTTGTATGTTGATTTGATATCCTGCAATTTTAGTGAATTTGCTCATTAGTTTTGGTGAATTCTTTAGAGTTATATATATATATATAGGATTATGTCATCTGTAAACAAAGACCATTTTACATTATTCTTTGCAATTTGGATGCCCTTTTTTTTTCTTTTCCTTGGTGAATTGCTTTGGCTAGGACTCTCAGTGTTATATGGAATAGCAGTAGAGAGAGTGGGCATCCTTGTCTTCTTCCTTATCATCCTTGCATTTTTATATTTTTAATTTATATTTTATTTATTCCAAATATATTGTCAGAATTTAATGTTAACTATTATACTGATAAAGCAAAATTATCTGCCACAGAAACAGGTAATATTATCCAAACTTTATTTTCATATAACATAATATGATTCTTTTGGATCAAGGGCTATATTCCTGTTCTCTACAATCTGAGTTGTTTATTTTATATTTTCTTTTGGGTTTTGTGCTTTAAAGAGAAAAGATGTTTATTATTGGTTAAGGGCTATCACACACACACACACACACACACACACACACACACACACACACAATTTCCAGATTTTATTCAATATTGTTCTCAAGTAAAAAGTAAATCTGTGTAGAAACCCATATCGGTTTTGATTGTCAATGTTATTAAAGCATAGAGGTGAAAAGCCACACTTTGAAGTAAAAGAGATTTAAGATGAAATCCCTGTGCTACTGTTAGCAATGTGCCCTTTTCTGAGCTTCAGTTGCCATCAATGCAATGGGGATAATAATAGTTCTTGCTTCATTAGGAGGGTGTAGATATACAAATACAATAAAGTGCTTGGTGAATACTAAGTACCCAGCAACTGTTAGCTACTATTACTCTCACCTGCTTTTGAGCAACTGCCAGTATTAAACTCACTGTTTGAGAACTTTTATTATTTTCATATATAAGCTTATTGCTTATTGAAAAATACCTTTCATTTTCCTCTACTATTTCTAGGGATGCTAATTATATTTACCAGAATATATATTTAAAACAACCTAAACAGCTTATTAGAATTGATTTAATGTGATTAAGTGATATGTTTATTCCACATTATTTCTATGCAGAGAAAAGAAATTTCTTAAGGAAGAAATATCCCAAACAAAAATATGTTCTATAATCTATCTATCTATTTACTTTGCGTAACCATAAGACCAGTGTTCATTCATGAAAATAGTTTTCTTGTTTGGTGATAACATATGATATGTGATAACTAAGACTCAAGAATATATAAAAAATAATTTACCTTTTCAAGGAACACTATAATTTACTGAAAAATATCAATATGCAGACTTGTCTACTCAACCTGCCCAATTATTAATCCTTTAATTATTATCAATCACTGGGAGAAGAATAATACAACTGACATAATCTTCTCTAACATTTGCTACAGTGCCAATACTTTTTCAATAGTGTATAAGCCTAAATATTTTCAAATCAACAAATACTCTTATTCATAATATTAATTTTAAGTGCCTCTACAACCTTCAACATTAATTAAATCATGTTAAAACACTTGAAATATACAAAATATAGATTTTCAGATCATTATTTCCAAGAAGCTATTTTATTAGTCAGTTTCCACACTGCTGACAAAGACAACCCAAGACTGGGTAATTATAAAGGAAAAGAATTTTAATGTACTCACAGTTCCACGTGGCTGAGGAGGCCTCACAATCATGGCAGAAGGTGAAAGGCATGTCTTACTTGGCAGCAGACAGGAGAGAATGAGAGCCAAGCAAAAGAGGTTTTCACTTATAAAACCATCAGGTCTCATGAGACTTATTCACTACCATGAGAACAGCATGGGGGAAACAGCCCCCATTATTTAATTATCTCCCACCAAGTTCCTCCAATAACACATGAGAATTACAGGAGGTACAATTCAAGATGAGATTTCGGTGAGGACATAGCCCAACCATATCATTCCACCCCTGGACCCTCCCAAATCTCATGTTCTCACGTTTCAAAACCAATCATGCCTTCCTAACAGTTCCCTAAAGTCTTAACTCATTTCAGCATTAACTCAGAAGCCCAGAGTCCAAAGTCTCATCGGAGACAAGGCAAGTCCCCTCCATCTATGAGCCTGTAAAATCAAAAGCAAGTTAGTTTCTTCCTGGATACAATAGAGGTACAGGCATTGGGTAAATACAGCCATTCCAAATGGGAGAAATTGGTCAAAACAAAGGGGGTACAGGCCCCACGCAAATCCAAAATCCAGTGGGGCAGTAAAATCTTAAAGCTCCAAAATGATCTCCTTTGACTCCATGTCTCACATCCAGGTCATGGTGACACAAGAGGTGGGTTCCCATGGCCTTGGGCAGCTCTGCCCCTGTTGCTTTGCAGTGACAGCCTCCCTCTTGGCTGCTTTCACGGCCTAGTGTTGAGTGTATGCAGCGTTTCCAGGTGCACAGGGCAAGCTGTCAGTGGATCTACCATTCTGGGGTCTGGAGGATGATGGTCTTCTTCTCTCAGCTCCACTAGGCAGTGCCCCAGTGAGAACTCTGTGTGGGGGCTGTAACCCCACATTTTTCTTCTGCGCTGCTCTAGCAGAGGTTCTCATGAGGTCTCCATCCATGCAGCAGGCTTCTGCCTGGGCATCCAGGCATTTCCATGCATTCTCTGAAATCTAAGTTGAGGTTCTCAAACCTCAATTCTTGACTTCTGTGCACCCACAGGCTCAACACCACGTGGAAACTGCCAAGGCTTGGGGCTTGCACCCACTGAAGCCACAGCCCAATTTGTACCTTGGCCCCTTTTAGCCATGGCTAGAGTTGCTGGGACACAGAGCACCAACTCCCTAGCCTGCACATAGCAGGGGGGCCATGGGCCCAGCCGACCATTTTTAATTCCTAGGCCTATGGGCCTGCAATGAGAGGGGCTGCCACAAAGTTCTGTGAAATCCCCTGGAGACATTTTCCCCATTGTCTTGGCAATTAACATTTGGCTCCTCTTTACTTATGCAAATTTCTGCAGCTGGCTTGAATTTCTCCTCAGAAAATGGGTTTTTCTTTCTTCATAAGGCTGCAAATTTTCCAAACTTTTATGCTCTGTTTCCCTTTTAAAACTGAATGCTTTTAACAGCACCTAAGTCATGTCTTAAATGTTTTGCTGCTTAGAAATGTCTTCCATCAGATACACTAAATCATCTCCCTCAAGTTCAAAGTCCCACAAATCTCCAGGGCAGGGGCAAAATGTCACCAGTCTCCTTGCTAAAACATAGTAATAGTTACCTTTACTCTAGTTCTCAACAAGTTCCTCATCTCCATCTGAGACAACCTCAACCTGGATTTCAGTGTCCACATCATTATCAGCATTTTGATCAAAGCCATTCAACAAGTCTCTAGGAAGTTCCAAACTTTCCCACATTTTTGTATCTTCTTCTAAGCCCTCCAAACCGTTCCAACCTCTGCCTGTCACCCAGTTCCAAAGTCGCTTTCACATTTTTGGGTATCTTTACAGCAGCACCCTACTCTCCCAGTGCCAATTTACTGTATTAGTCCATTTTTAAGCTGTGTTAAAGACATACCTGAGACTGGGTAATTTATAAAGGAAAAGAGATTTAACGGACTAACAGTTACACGTGGCCAGGGAGGCCTCACAATCATGGCAAAAGGCATGTCTTACATCGCAGCAGGCAAGAGAGAGAATGAGAGCAAAGCAAAAAAGGGCTTCCCCTTATAAAACCATCAGATCTCATGAGACTTATTCAGTACCATGAGAACAGTATATGGGGGAAACTGCCCCCATGATTCAGTTATCTCCCACCAGGCCCCTTCCACAACACATGGGAATTATGGAAACTACAATTCAAGATGAGATTTGGGTGGGGACACAGCCAAACCATATCAACTATGTAAATGCAAAATAACAAACACACATCTTAACAAGACTTCATTCAGCTATGTTAAAAAGAAACAGCAATAAATGAAAAATTAATGGTACAAAGAGATGTGCTAGAATTGCAACAAATCTGACATTTCTGTGTTTATAACAAGCTCGTATATGGTAAATAGTTGATAAATGCTATTTATCCTAGAAGAAATAGAAAGAATTGGGTAAGGATTGTCTTGGAAGGGAAGAGAGATATTTAGACAGAAAAGAATAAAATTACAGTTGGAGTGTTATTCAAAAGATGAAGGATATCAGCTAAAAACAACAAAAACTTTCCTTTACCACTAGCACACTAGTTGCCATCACTCTTATCTTCTCTTGTTTATAATTGTCTATATCCTCTAACTCCACTTCCTAATCACCACTCAACCCATTTCAATTTGGTTTCCTACCCCATCTTACCACATAAATAACTCTTTGTAAAGTCACCAATGACCTCTGGGTTATGAAATCCAGTGGACATATTTTAGTCCTCAACTTGACCACTTAGATGTGGGTGACTCCATTGACCCCTTAGTTCTTGAAAATCTTCTGTTTCTTCAGCTTGTATTGCTCTCTGGGCCTAGTTGTTTATCATGCTTCTAATAACTACTTCTCTGTCTCTTTTTGCTGGCTCATCTTCATCATCCAGACATTAAATATTGGAGTTCCTCAGTGAATAGTCACAGACTCCCCCCATCCTTTTTCTCTGTTCTTCTTTCTTTTCATCTCCTTTCCTTATTCTAAATTTTCTCCCTAAGCCATATCATTCATACCTATGACTTTATGATCTATATGCCAATGGAATCTTCACTTAGGTCTCTCATCCAGAATTCTCTGAGGTTCAGACTTGGAAGTGTAATTGCTTACACAATATTAGACAATTAAGGATATCTCAAAAATGCTTTAAAAGAACCTACAACATAATATGTCCAAACCAAATGAGTTATCCTCCTACACACAGGCATGCACACATTTCGCACATATCAAAATCTGGAGTTCTAATTGAAGTTCCTACTTCAATTCAATTTTTTAAGTCAGAAAACAAATGGTTGTTTCAATATTTGCCCCTTCCTCTACCTCCCCACCATATGTAGTGCGTCATCAGGTAGTGTGGACCTGACAGTCAGTCTGTCTTGAAGCTGTCTACTTATTTTTATCTTATCTATAACAGAGATAACATTGTAAGTGTTCATTAAATCCAGAGGCATCTTCAGAAATTATTTATTGTTGGTTAAAAATTTAACATCTCTTGGTCAGGTAAAAGAGGTTAGAAATAAATGCAATGAGGATCAATATACTAAGGAAACAGATACCTTGAAGGGATGGGAAATTGATAAGAGGTAGCAACCAGCAGTGAGTCGATAAAACAGAAAGGGATTTGCAAAGATTTCACTTGCAGTAGATTGCATGTGAATCAACAGTATATGTCTGCTGATTTTTTAAAAATCAATAAAGGATCCATAAATAAGAATATAGTACATGAACTCTCATACTAATTATTTATTTCATATTGTTCTTGATATATATTTACTGGGGACAAATGCGTATGACATAAAATTTGCCATTTTAACTATATTTAGGTGTGTAATTCAGTGGCATTAATTACGTACACAGTATTGTGCAGCCATTACCACTACTTATTTCCAGAACTTTTTTACTACACTAAACAGAAACACTACCCATTAAGCAATAACTTTCTACTAGTAACCTTTAATCTATTTTCTGTCTCTATGAATTTACCTATTCTAGGTATTTCATATAAATGGAATCGTGAACTATATGTCTTTTTGTGTCTGGCTTATTTTGCTTGGCATGTTTCATTAATGTTGTAACATAAATCAGCACTTCAGTGCTCTTTATGGCTAAATAATATTCCATCAGTATCTATATATTACATTTTTTAATCTATTCATAAGTTTATGGGCACTTGTGTTGTTTCTGCCTTTTGGCTTTTGCGAATAACACTGCTGTGAATATTGGCGTACAGGTATCTGTTTGAATAATTGTTCTCAGTTATTTTTAGTATACACCAAGGAGTGTCATTGCTGGGCTAAATGATAATTTTGTTTAACTTTTTGAGGAACCATCAAACTCTTTTCCACAGTGACTGTACTATTTTACATTTCCACCCACATACAGGGTTCCTCTCATTGTTAATTTTTCAAGTATAGTATTAATTCAGTGTTTGATAATTTAGAAATCATAAAGAATTTGTTGCAATGTGTTAACGACATTAAAGAATTTAAACACGAAGGTTAAAAAGCATCAGCACAATGACCTGGAAAAAGACTTTTAGTGTAAAGAAGGCTATGGAATAATCTAATATTTATTTTCATTTAAAAAAAGATTACATTTAAATAATGCCCTGTCTTTCATACATGTGGATTACACTAATAATCCATATGAATATTGCATCCAATTCAAGTTGTTGTTAGGGAATCAGAAACATTACTCTGATTTAGCTACTTTTTGTTTTGTTGTATTTTGTTTTGTCCAAGGTCCAAATAAGCAAAAGTATTCATCTTGAATTTACTGGCTAGATTAGTAATTTGTCTATGGAAAATATCAGAGTTAATTGCCTGCTCTAAAAATAAGTTTTTTAAAAAATTGACCTGTTTGAACTAGGTAAGATAATTGATCACATATAACGAACGACTAGCTATCTGGTTACACTTTTTTCTATTCAGTGCCAGAACAAAAGAAAGAAATTTAGTTTATAACACATTGTCATTATGAAGTTATGACAGAAATTATCTGTTTTCTAAAAAAAAAAACAGTTATATTGTTTCTATCTTTGTATAGAATTAGAATTAGAGAGATAGTTTTGTAAGGCAGATAGAGGATGAATAGGATGACCTTTTAATTTCCCATTTTGCCTTGTGATTTCTTGATTGTTCTGCACTACTGACATACTGAGTCAATTTTATTGGGATACAGGAATTTTCATTCTTACTGCAGTGTATATACTCACATTGCCATACGTGGAGAAAACACTTGAATTATTATATTTGGGAAACTAACAAAGACTTCAGTGTCTTATAAACATAGGAAGAATATCTTGTGAATGCATATACATTTTCCAAGTCTATAAAAAACTTTAGCTCCTTGTTTTGATAGACTATCAGCATATGAGATTCTAGAGATTGTATAAATTGGGCAGTTCTGCTTTAAAAAAGCTATTTTTTTCCTAATACTATATCTTCATTTCCTACAAATTATTTTATCTAGCATAGCATTTACACTGACGTTCATGGTAAGATATAAAAACATTCTCCTTGGTAAATTTAAGAATCTTTTTAAAATGTCTGAAGTAGAAGAGAACATAAAGTTTTCCAGGTTCTCTAGCTGAAAGAAAGAAGGAAGCTCTGGAAATTTTCTTTTTCTTTTGTGCTAATCCATGACAATATCAAGATTCTTCATCAGTAAGTGATGCTGAAGCACCCAGAATCCAGGGTTCAGTTCATGGGTATTGAATCAGTAGTGCCTTAATCCTATGTGCATTTAACATTAATATTATTCATGCTTTATCATAATGTAATTCTCTAACTGAAAAAGTTTTAATAACTCCACAGTAAATAGAGAATAAAGTACAAACACTTTTAGTCTTTTTTCTCAGAATATTTGGAACTCATTTTAACTCTCTTTTCAGCCTTATATTTCACTATTACTCATCAAATACTCAGGGTATAAAATAAACCGTACATTTTACTCTGCCTTACTCCCTACATGCCCTTCATGTAATCCCAGCCAAATAGACATGCCTAACTCTTTGACTCCACCTATAAAAGTCCTACTTACTCTTCAAGTCCAATTTCAAGATCAAATGCCATCATTTCCAGTAAACTTCTCTCCGTTCACTGAATGGGAAATAATTTTCACCACATTGCCACTAAAAGAACTTTTGCCACTATTGATGTATTTTTACATGTTATCTGAAATTAAAATTAGGCTTTATGTGCTTTATTTTTTCTATTTGTGAGCTCCATGGGGACTAGGACAATATATTCATCTTGGAACTTACCAAAACACCAAAAAAAGTGTCATGCAGATAGGGAGTACTGAAGTAGAGTTTATTATTTTGAATTGAATGAATTTTACATTTTCAAGCATAGATTATAAAATGTTATTTTTAAGAAGAGTAAATTTTATTATTCATTAAAGAAAATAATTAACACATGGGTAAATCACGGACATCTTTTGAAAACAGTGTAGGCTAAGTGTTGTCAGTGTTTTAGAACAGAAAATAACATGAAATGGTAACTTTCTGAAAATAACTTTTTGGTTTATTATCAAGTTATACATTTATTCTATAATAAGAAACAAAAACATCCATAAAAATGAAATTAATTTTATTTCCAATATCAACAATAACTCCCATATGTACCAAGTTTCACTTCTAACCCCACAAAGTAGTACATAGTTTATGTATTTTTCTGTACATATATTTTATGCATTTTTTGTACATATATTTTTGTGTTTAATGGCAGTTTATCATGACCTTTTTTATCTTGATAAATATGCTCCTCAAACATTATTTTTAATGAATGCCTAGCATTCCTTTCTTATCTCCATAATTTCTATTTTTGGACATTTCAAATATCCTAATTTTTTACTGTATTTAAATTATTTTAGCTTCATTTATGTAATTTAATCATTAGCTCATCTTGGACTATTTTCTTGAGATTAATTCCTAAAAATGCAAGTGTTCTTCCCAAGACATATGTGTATTGTTAAAGCTATTGATATTCACTAATAACATGCCCTTCAAACATTTTTTATTGCCAATTTCTTTTGGCAACAGTAGTATTTTGGAATGCCCAATAGTGACTGTGTTAAGCACCCTATTTCTGACACAAGTTGCATTCTCTAAAGTGTTCCTCAAAATTGGGATATGGTACAATTCTTATCTATTAGATATTGAAGTACTTGATAAAGAAAATGCAGTTGGATTAAGGATATAATAACTTGGATCCTTTTTTACCTTCCATTTTCTGCATATATGTTTTGGAATTAGTTTTATTATGGCACATGAATGGCATGTAGTATATGATGACTTAGTATTGCAAATTCAGAAATGCCAACTGAATTAAAGAAGCTTTCTAGTTCTGAAGTTAACTTGCCTAGGTTCAAAGTGTTTCCTGCCACTTACCATAGTGTGATGTTGGACAACATACCTAACAGCTCTTAGCCACCATTTCATTATTCACAAAATAGAAATAATGACAATACCTTCTTCGAAGGGTGGTTGTGAGGGATAGATGCAATAATGCATATAAAGTAAATTGCTCAGTGCCTTCCAACTAGAATGTCTTCACAAAATAATAGCTGTTATTAATTTTACCTATAATATTTCAAAAATATCTGCTTAAAATACAGGCTCATTACTTGATAGATATGCTCAGTAGGTGGTTTTATTTATTGTAGAATGTATATTACATAAGGGGGAAATGTGAAAAATAATATTAATTTTATGTGTACTTCAGTAACACTTCATAAAATATGTATATAATCAACCTCTCTATCTCATGAACATTGAAATAATTTGGGGAAAAAACACAGCTTTGTGTCACTTTAGAGTAGGTCAAATGAAAAGAGTATGTTGCCCAACATTACTACATCAATTAAACTTTATATGAATATTTAAAGGATTCTGGTAATAATTCATGTGACAAAATTCAAAAGCAGCCTTTTCAATAAATGAAAAGTTTCCAGGTCAAATCTCTTCCCGACATTCATACATATTTTCTTGTCTTGCGTTAACATGAGATAACAGTCAGGGTTACAATTTTACCTATAACTAACTTAAAGAAATAAGACAGGTAAAAAGAAAAGAACTGATTTCATGACACAAATATAGAATTAAACTGTCAAGATTCGAAATGTTCAATATACCTCATTTAGAGTAAGAATTTTAAATTCAAATAATTTTCTTTGAATATGATAGGAAATGAATGTATTGGCCAGAAATTTGTGACAATTAATTGCAGAATGGCTGAATTGTAATGAAAGGCTCTAAGGAAAAAAAAATGATGAAATGAATGTGCTGTTTGCTTTCAAATCATTTACAGTTGAATAATTTATGTTATCTTTAATTCATCCAGTTAAATTATCCAAGATGAATACAATATGAATAGAAGAGGTTTAAAATTGTCAGGTTTTTGCATTAAAATGTTTGCCAGTAACCACTTTCTATTTTTTATTACCATTTTAATGGTTTCATATATTGCAATATGAGTTAGAAGACTAAGCTGGAGTATACAATGTAATGAGTTTCCAGGGTTATAAATATTTGACCTATGTCTTGAGACATTAAAAGAAAACCTCTTATGTAGATAGGTTATGTATTCACTCAAAGAAAACTAACCTAAGTGGAAATTACTCTGATCTGCCCCCTAAAATTTCACCCACCATATTCTTTCCCTTTCTCTGAATAACAGCATTCTTCAGTTGTTTATGCCAAAAACTTTGGAGTCAACCTGATTTTCTCTAAACGCTACTTCTGTCAGCAAATCCTGTCAGAAGCTACCTATGAAATAAATTCAGCGTACTTAGAAATGCCTACTGCTACCCCCTTTTACCTTAAGCCAACATCAACATTTTATCTCTTGTTCTCTCTCTGGATTGTTAAAATAGTCTCTTAGTTCTCCCTGCTTTAGTGGTTGCTTTCCTTTGCTTTCTTTTCAATACAACCATCAGAATGTGCCTTCATAATGAAAGTTGGAAAGCGTTAGTCCTCTCAAAACTCCCGGTGGCTTTTCCATCTTGCTCAGAGTAAATGCCAAAGGTCTTATAATAAACTTCACAGCAGTATACTGATCTAGACCCGCTGCTATTCCTCTGATTTTATCTCGTAGCACTATCTTTCTTTTTCCCTCTACTCTCTCAAACACACCAAGCATGCCCTCACCTCAAGGCTATGGCATCTCTGCATATAAAACAAAGACATACAATTTCTCATATTCCTTCTCATTCTACTAATGACCCCACCATTGCTTTGATTCTTACCAAGAGAGCCCTGTAATCAAGGTCTAAATGTGACTTAATTTACGGTTCATATAGCATTCTACTAGGTTCTTTACCTGAAGAGTTGAAAACAAGACTACCTTCCTGTAAGCTTACTTAACACAAAGAATTAGATACTGAGTCAGAACTCAGGTTTCGTTAATGTCTAATTAGCAAAAGAACAAGATAAAGTAGGAAGGCTAGATCCAAGTCCTAGTTGAACTAAATGATTACTGTACATCTGAAATGGAAGCAAGACAAAGACCAATTATTCTAAGGAGAAACAAAAGAGGGCAGATGTCTTAAGGTGAATCCAAAACTAAAAGGTCCATATCCAGGCCGTAATCCAAGCAGAGGTGTGAACAGGATATGAGAAAAAATCTAATACCTGTCATTGGTGAAAGTACTTATGAGTGGTCAGTTGGTACTAAGAAAGGGGCGTGGAGAAAGGAAATACGACAGCAATTGTACCCACTTTGGGATAGTGATATTCATAAAAAGAATTTCCTTGGGAGCAGGGATAAACATCAGAAAACAGAGTTTTAGAAAAAGAGAAGATCAAGAAGTACCACGTTCGATGAAACACTGAGTTATAGGACAGTGAGTATCATTGATAGAATAGAATTTAATTTCTGAGTGTCTGGGCAGCCAGCTCCAAGTCTGAATTAGTGAGAAGTCACTATTCCCATCATTAATGTCCAGAGTGACCCAAAGTTTTTGGGAAAAACTCAAGTAGTCCCAGATGCAGTATTCCACACCACGGAATGCTCATAGAAAAAAAAAATGAGTTTCATTTTAGGGATCAACTACAGGTTGCAATTTTCAATAGGATGGTCAAGAAAGACATTATTGAGGCCAGGAGTGGTGGCTCACGCCTGTAATTCCAATACTTTCGGAGGTTGAGGTGGGCAGATCACCTGAAGTCAGGATTTCAAGACCAGCCTGGCCAACACGACGAAACCCCGTCTCTAGTAAAAATACAAAAATTATCGTGCCACCTCACTCCAGCCTGGCGACAGGTGAGCCGAGATCATACCACTGCACTCCAGCTTGGGTGACAGAGCAAGACTCGATCTCAAAAAAAAAAAAAAAAAAAAGAACAAGAAAAGAAAGAAATTATTGAGAAGATGATATTAAAATAAAAATAAAAGGAGGGGAAGGAGAGAGGGAGCCATGGAGATATCTAGGAGCAGAGCATTCTAACCACTGGGGACAACTGCAAAGGTCCTGTCTTAAGAATTGCAAGAAGGCTAGAGTAGGGGAGCAGAGTGAGGAGAAAGAGAAGCATGGAAAATAGGCTTGGAGTTGAGGCACACCCGTGGGACCCTATACACAACCATGGTTAAGACTTTGTGTTTTATTCTGAGTGAAAGAAAATGCTCCGAGATGGTTTTTTAACAGAAGAATACGTGATCTGTGTGCTGGTGATAAGCTTGTAAGCATGTCCTTTATTCCTGGACTAACCACTGCAAAATGGTTAGCTAAAAGCTGAAAGAGAAGTAAATGCAGGCTTCATTTTTTTTGTTTTTCTTTTTTATGTGATAATAGGTTCTTAGTATATGAGCTTCAATAATTTGTGCATAGTGTTTTATATACCTCTCCCAGACATACTATTTATTATTTAGCTTTCTAATTCCTTCTAATTTTGTAGCTTAGTCACGCCAAAACTAAGTTAAATCACATCTATGGAGCTTTTGTATGTGCCAGACATTGTGCTGTATGCTTTATATGTAGAATCTCATTTACTCTTCCAACAGCACATAATAATCATCACCACCATTTTATTGATAGGGAAACTGTAAAGCACAGAACTTAGGAATTCCAGAGCATGTATCGTCACCGGAGTTAACATCATACTTGTTTTTGTGGACCTGACTGTCCCCTTCAGATATTTTCTTTAGGTTGCCTAATATTTCGTTACAAGAGAGTACATTCTCCAGGCTGACTAGATGTCTAAGCGAGAAGACAGTCTGCATTTTCAGTCTTTTGTTATAGCATGAGATGCTGCCTGGGACATAGCATAGTCAGTCTAGTGATTCAACATATGTACAAATGAATCAGAACACAGGGTTCCTATCCCAGCTCATCCATTTGCCAGCTGTGTTTCTCACTTTGGTTCTTTATAAAATAACAGTACCTAAAGTAGGATTCAAGCCCTATTAGATTTTGAGATCACATTTTAAGAGAAAGAATACAAAATTAGGCATGAAAGTGAGTATTTATTCATGTAGAGAAAATAAAACATAGCAAAATATGAATTTTAAAAAGTTAACAAATACCACACAAATTATAAACTGCAGAAAAAAGTAACTATATTGTTGTTTTGTAAATAACATGATCCTCTAGAGTTTTTTTCATTTTTTAATCCATTTTTGGCTATATATTCTTCAATTGCCTCTGCACATGACTTCAATTTGGTAATATCACACAACTAATTACACGGTAAAATTATTTTGGGTAATAACCCCAGTATTGTTCTCTTCCAGCCCTGCAGTGAAAGCTGCCCATCAGACTCTGAGGAGGCTGCATAATTAAACTCTACTGTTTCACTAGCTAAGCTGCTGAAACACAGTAAACCAAGTCCTGGGAAATTTCTTTTTCATGGTATACTTAACATCCCATGAACTATAATGTGATATGGAAATCCAGTTTGCAATGCTCTGTTCTTCATAAAACACAGAGTGGCATTATTCTCAAGTACAGTTTATAATAAGCGAGAGGAAGGAGATACAGCTGGTAAAATTTTGTTCTACTCACAGATAGCTAAGAAACTTCATGTGTCTCCATAAAGGAGTAATATAAAATTTGTGCAAATAAGTTGCAAATTCAAAAGGAACTCATATAAGGAAACATATTTGTGATGGTATACACTCCTGAATACTTAACATTTTGATCACCGTGAACTATAATATATAATCTGCATTTTATGGTTTTCTGGATGCTTGGAAATTTCAGGAGTATTTAATTTTAAAAAGATTGTCAACATGCAGATAAAAAATCAGATTATTTTACATCTATAAGTGAAACCTTGTTATCCCCTTCATTTGAGGAAATCCAAGGAGTTTTAAACAGCTCTACTTTACTGGCTATCTCTATACTTAAGCCACTAGTTGGTTTTTGGTTTGTTTGTTTTTAGCATTTAATATTAGTGTGTGTTTTCCCATAACTTAATTACCAAATTAATAAAAGGGTCATTCTTCACTAAGTATCACAGTAGTAGTGAGTGAAGATAGTCATTCTACCCAAACAGCCTTTGTTCGATAAGGTTAAGTGCAGTAACCAGAAGTTGGAAGTATAGAAGATGTGCTTTGAAAATGCATGCTAGAAGACTTCGGTCACAGTGACATGACAGAGGATTGTTGGAAAATAACATTTGAAGTCAAACTTTCCTGAAAGCCCAGGCATGAGGCAAGGCTTTCTGGACAAAAGTTTCCAGCAGACCACAGTCTGACACACCATCATGAACAAGATCAGATTTTAAGCCTCCAAGCCAATCAAGAAATTACCTTGAAATGTGCGCAGTGTATTTTAAGTAAAACCAGTCTCTGTAGGCACTCAATATATGTTTGTTTAATGTAATTAAATTTGAATTAAATTCAGTAAGGCTGGTTTCCTAATATAAAATATGAAAAGGCTTATTGAATTTCAAAATTATTTTTATGGCTATTTTAAAGCAATTACTAACTTTGATAATAAAAGTGTGAACAGGACTGTAATTCATTATTAGGCTGGCACTTCTTACTGTGGGCATTTGTCAATAACTTTTCTGGCCAAGATATGGGGTGATCTTTGGAATACACTTGAGTAATACATATAAAAACAGTTTGAAAAACCAAAAGCTGTCTATATTTTTTCCACTGATCTATTTGTCAAACTATGTTGATTCAGAAGCACTACTGAACCAAAATATGCCATCACTCCTAAGATGGAAAAAAAAAAAAGCAATCCCATCATTATTATGTATTGTGGGAATACATATGCATGGGAGTAAAACCCTAGCTATTTGTGCAAGTTTGATAGACAGCTAATAATTAATTTGATAGTTGTTCAAAAAAATCAATACCAAAAAACTGAAGCCAACTTCTGTAAGTTGTGGGGCTTCGTATATGGGCCATCTGAAATCGCCAAATAACCTGGACAATTTAAGTTATTCTTACATAATTGTGAATAAAGAAAATCATTTTGTTCTGAGTTCAAGGGTTTAGAAAAACAGAGCATTGCCAACCCAAGAAAATTCGAAACACAATGGGAACAAGAAATCTATATGCAAAAGTGTCTGGCTTGAATAAAAAAGTAAATCTAAAAGCTGCCACAGTATCTAATGTCCTAAGCCTCTCAAAGAATTAGTTCATGGATTTACTTACTGTCAAGGATTGAAACCTACCTAGACATTATTTAGGTAGTAACAAATAAACACACAAACAAAAATATATTTGTTGGTTACTAAGGAATGAAATTTACCTATAATAGTTACCCAGAGTTTCAGTTCCTATTTCTATGTGAGAAGAACAAAATAACATTTTGTTTACTATAAAGATTGAAATGGTAACAACCTGAAAAGAGGAAAAAAAGGGAAGGAAAATAGGGAAGGAGTTCTCTGTGGACTCTCCTTCAACTGAGTGTGTCCATGCTTTGTGCTGGTTCCCTCAGTATGGGTGTCCTATGATGGTACCTGGCTGTCTTTGGAGAATATGAACCAAGTACTAAAGTGGTTTTGGAAGGTTTGCATTGTTGAGAGTTTCAAAAATATAATACCTCTGTTTTAAAAAACCAACGCCATTAAGTTTCATGCCTGGTTTCTATAACTGAAGTACTCTGAAAAAATTCAAATCAATTTTTTGGTGAATAACTAAACTGAATAAAATGTCATCAAAGTCTTCTCAAGACTTATTCTAAAATTTTGTAGTATTCACTCACATACAAATAATGAATTATGATGATCGGCTAGCTGGCAAAGATGTGCTTTTAGCCATCCTGCTGTCCTTCCTGGAGGTACCATTTTACCCAGGAGAGAAAATCTTCAGGAACTGCAGCTTTATTGAACTGCCAATTTAGCTAATTTTTATTTATTTTTCAAACTTTACTTTTATCATCCAATTGAGAGACGAGCAGCAGATGGCTTCTGCCTCCAGCTCAGCTGCCCTGCTATAAACTAAACTGGAAAACATGGTAGTACCTTGGTTCTCCCTTATTCGTAAATCTCACTGTCAAATCAGGAAACGTCTACTGGCAACCTCAGAGTATTTCCTTTAAAGACAGTCCCTTAACACTTTCCTACTCTCGTTTGAGCAGCTTGTCTTGTCAGATAATGAAGAAATTTTTTGGAGCAAATTATTTTAATTCCGAATGGCAGACAAATCAATTACTTTGAAAATATTGGTTTCATATTGACCAAACATGTTCAAATATTAAACACACATAATTTTAAATATTCTTTTTCAAACAGGGAGGTCAAGGTTTCATTCAAATAAGGTTTGAATTGACGTTGTTTTGCTTGATAGAATGTTACCTGGCACTCACTGAGCAAAAAGTCACTTTTGTATTTAAAGAACATGTAAGCTAGTATTTTATTTCACTTTGCTATTGTGGTTAAATTCAAATTTGAGAATATTATTTTTAGATCACTTCCTAGCCAAAAGCATTGTCAAGTGATGATGTGTACTATTTAAATAGAAAGCACAGAATTCACGACATTTTACCTCAGTATTTGGTTAATTGTGGCAAATTAATTGTCATTCACCAAATGCTTGTGACCTTTCTTTTCTTCATTCTCCCTTCCGTCCAAGCTGCTGTTGAAAACAGAGACTGTTGTTATCACTTAATAATACTTTGGCCAAGTGTAAATGTGATATTATACGTATTGTGCCTAGGATCCTAACTGCGCACCTTCTTTAATTCATTTATAAAATTTTTAGGCTAATACGAGCTTTGAATGCAAACACATTCTCTTCAGTGATATATCTGTATAGTCTAATTAAAAATAAAAATATAAAGACCTTAATAAATACTAATAATGGAGGTCAAAGGGCACATAGTGAAGTGCAGTTGAGAAATGACGTGACCTGTGTATTTGTCTTATTCCTGCTATATCGCATAAACAGGAGAATGAATTGAAAATTGTAATTAAGATTTATTCCATTTTGTTAAGATTAAAAATGAGCAGTCAAATAATTCTTTCTCTGAGAGAAGAGTGTATGGTAGGTCCATTGAGGGTGTCTGTTGTATCTTAAAATCTATTCGAAATGTTTGGGTGAATTATTGTCTAAATTGACAGATGATTGCTTTTGAGCTAACAAAATATTTCTGTTAGCATAGCTAAAGAATATATGTTAAGGAATATATGCTCTTTGTAAGTTTTGATTGAGTAGATAAGATGATACAGACACATGAATCAGGAAACAAATCAACAATCAACTGGAATTACAACCAAATCTATGTACTTCTGTTGTGAGATCTTTTTACTTGCAATCCTTTGCAAAACGTGCTGTGCACAATGTAGTAAGTATGCTTGTAATAAACAATTAAAGGAGCTTTTCACGTGTAGAAGTGCACGCTTAATTTTTGTTAAATCATCTCAATAAATACTTATAAGTGAAGCCAACATGATTTTCTTAAGTTTTTTGAAAATGTGTGTACCTATAACTGCTGTGCTATTTGCAAGAGGCAGTATACACACAAATTTGATGATTTCATTCTTTACCAAATACTATATTTAGCACATTAAATACTAAGAAATAGCACTAAAATGGGCCGGGCCTGGTGGCTCATGCCTGTAATCCCAGCACTTTGGGAGGCCGTGGCAGACGGATCACTTGAGGTCCAGAGTTTGAGACCAACCTGGCCAACATGGTGAAACCCCGTCTCTACTAAAAATACAAAAATTGCTGGGCCTGGTGGTGGATGCCTGTAATCCCAGCTACTCGAGAAGCTTGGGCAGGAGAATCACTTGAACTCAGGAGGCGGAGGTTGCAGTGAGCTGAGATTGTACCACTGCACTCCAGCCTGGGCAATAAAAGCGAAACTCCACCTCAAAAAAAAAAAAAAAAAAAAAAAGAGAGAGAGAGAGAGAGAGAAGGAAGGAAGAAGAAAAGAAAAAAAGAAATAGCACTAAAATGGACATAAAATATATATTGGTGTTTTAGAACTAATTTTACAAAGACTGAAATTTAAATATACACTCAATTTTAAATTTTTAAAATAATATTCAGAATAATGGGTTCATTTGTAAAACAAAATTGTTTGTAGGCATAAAGGATTAATTGAAAAAATCAGTCATGCAAGGAATATCTCTTATATGTAGAATGAGTATTAATTTCCAAATGACATTTTAAAGAAACCTCTTATAATAGTACCCTTTAAATCACTAAAAATTAATCTAGCATACAGTCACATGTCTGTTGTTTTGTACTAGTGCTCCGTCTACATTTATGTGTATAAAATTTTTTAATTCAGTTGAAAATCTCTTTATATAAAAGGCTCAAACTGTCCTTTGAAATGAAACAGGCCCAATGAATATTCCATTGATTTCATTGTAACATTAATGGGGGACCAAGTCATAGTTTGAGCAGAAGAGAAAGTTAAGTAATATCAACCGCTTTGTTTTTCATAGTAGAACACCCATCCAAATGCCATTTTCCTGCCAGTAAGTGTTCTGTAGAGCAGTGTTTTAAATTCCCATAATACCACTTCTCATTATGAAAACCTCTTCACAATTTAAAGGGTAATAACAGAAGACTAAGCCACTACAAATGTCCAAAACATCTTTTAAGTTAGTCATATGACCTCTGAATATATTAATATCTTAACCTCAAATTAGGGATTATGTCAAAAACTAGGAAGGATACTTCTCTTACATACATTTTATTTGCTGTATATTTATTATTTATTTGCTAAATATTTTGTCAGTTAATTATTTCTTATTTATTGTATATTTAAAGTAAGTTACTAAAAGCTGCGCTCCCAGAGTGCAGAAAGCACTAGGCCTGAATTTAGAAGTGGTAGGTTGAATAACTGATATTTCTAGCTTTGCCATTAGTTTATTGTGAGGATCATTTTGGAAAGTCTTTTGATCTTTGCCTCTACAATAAATTAGTAACAAAATTATCTGTATTATGAGGATTTGTGTTGTTGTTGTTTCTTTATTTTTGTTTGAAATAATTGTTTTCTATATTTCTTTTGCTGCAGGAAAAGTTTTGGGTTTATTGTGTTTTCTCATAACTGTATAATTTTATTTTATTTTAATTTACTTGTGTGTCTGTGCATGGAGATGAGGGCCTTGCTTTGTTGCCCAGGCTGGTCTCGAATTCATGGCTTCAAGCAATCCTCCCACCTTGGCCTCCCAAAGTGCTGGGATTACAGACATGAGCCAACATAACTGTATAATTTTAATATTGCAAGGAACACTCTTAAAAATAAATTAGGACCGGGTGTGGCAGCTCACACCTGTAATCCCAGCAATTTGAGAGGCTTCTCTATGGCTTCAACTATTTTCTCTTACCCAAGTTGCCTTCCAAGCTTTAGATTTGTAGACTCTAAAGGAAGAAGCCTAATAGGACTCTGCAGTCTACACAGAAAGGAAAGCTGGCTGTGGATAACTAAGAACCACATGGCAAAAAAAACTAGTCATTGGGTTCTAGAGGAGAATACATCCATTTCTGTTGCTAGTGGGATGCTGGAATATAAATTTTTCAAAAATCCTTTGTTTAAAGCCAAAAACTGCTAAAAATAGCAGTAAGTTTGAAACTTAATTATTGGAAGCTTAATAGCTCCCTCTCCAATGTATACACTAACAATTGCCAACTGATGTCAACACAAATTGTGAACATGCAAGAAAAACTAATTGTTCTATATTATTTTACAGTTATTATTGATTATCATGCCCTTTGCAAATCAAGAAAAAGAAAGTGTAATAATTCTTAAGGTGAATTTAACAGTTACTAGAGGAGAGGAAGCATGTTTCCAAATACTTTCTTAATCAAACATTAAAATCACAGGCTTCATTTAAAGGGTGTCAACCAAGTATAAATAAAATTCGACTAAATTTTCAAACATGATCTCTGATCACATATAGATAGACTGGTTTAAGAAGAGACTTCTTTCATCAAGTTTGAAAATATTTGTTTTTTTTCTCTCCGAGGGCATCCTCTTCAGCCACAAATAGCTTAAGAGAGGGTAAAAATTGAGGTGTGTAGATTGACCAAACACACACAAACACACACACACACACTGCTAAGAATATTTTGTCCTCTGGCCTCTGGTAGAATATTTTCTACCATTGGCCTCTGGTAGAATTTTATTGAGAGTATTCAGTTACCACTTGAAATGCGTTTGGGTCAGTGCCTTTGAAACCTAGCTGTATGTACATCACGTGGAATACAAGTAGGTTGAGAAGCTGCATCACACATTAAAATGAGAACAAATGCAAAGAAACATGAGGAGCATGATAATAAAAGTTGTATAGCATTCAACTTTTATCTGTGTTGTAAGCCACAATTGTACTCAACCCTCTCAGTCTAAGCTGACAGACTCAAAAACTTCAACCAGAATGAAGTATCTCAACATTTCTCCTTTTCAAACACATATTTAAATAAAGTGGATAAGCTTCATTCAAACCAAATTAATAATAAGTACATCCAAAAGTAACCACATTAAAATGTGACAATGTAGAGAATTATCAGAACTTTACTGCTAATACTGTGAATCTATAAACAACCCACAGGCGTGAGAAAACACAACAAAAACCTAATCCTGGCCATAGCAACATGGATCCATGTGTCTCTAAGACCAGCCTCAACTTAGATGAAAACGCAAGTTTCTTTTCCTTTCACTTCGCTTTTTTTTCTTTTGATTTCTAGTCTTGTCTTCTTACTGTTCTTTTCCCTCTTCTTTTTCTTTTTTTTTTAAGAAATATATTCCTTTTAACATTGGAGTTCTCCAGGTTTAAACGTAATCACAAAGGCTTTTACCTTGGGTTTCAACCCTAAAATCACAGCAGTGGATCTAGAAGTGGCAAATAAGGTCTGATTGGGCCGGGGTCTACTCATTATCAGATGATACAATTTTCTATGGAGATTCCTGGTGCCGTCTCTTTTGTCTGGTTCTCATTCAGCAACTTCAAAGAAAGAGGATAGAAATATCTTACGCTGTTGAAGTCTTGGAATTCAGATTTGGCACTTGCATCCAAATGTTTCTTGTACTATTTTCTACATGGCTAATTATGGCTACGTTTTAAAAATAAGGAACACCTAGCTTTCTAATATGTGATGAGAGATGGGATATTATTGAAACAAGAAAGAGTCTGGGAGTCCCAAATGAACGCTCTTTTGTGGACAAATAATTTATAAGAACATAGAAACAGAATTTGAGATGTATTCTTGAAAAAAGTTATTAAACCAGATCAAATACTACCTCGAAATAAATACATAGCACTAAAACATCACTATCTCCTTGTTTTATTTGTCTTACTACCTGCTTTATCATCTACCAACATTTGTGTAACATCTATTTCTTCCCAGTAAAATGTGAGCTGCAAGAGATCAGGGACACACTGGGTAAGGAGAGCATCTGTCTTAAATGATATCTACAAATAAAGCTAAAAGAGAACAGCTCAACAGACAGCAGAGATGGGCATCTGCCCAACAAAGGCCAGCTGGAGAAATATCAAGAGAAGGTTTCTAATTAAACTCTTAATTTGGGGGTCTATATTGCTTTTCTATTATTGCTGTAATAAATTACCATAAACCTAGTGGGTTAAAACAAGACAACTCTATTGTCTTATAGCCCCGGATGTCAGAAGTCCAAAATGAATCTTACAGGGCGAGTATTAACGTGTGGGAAGGGCTGCATTCCTTATTGATGCTATAGGAGAGAATTTGTGTTTTTGCCTTTTTCAGCTTCTAGAAGTCACCCCCATTCCTTGGTTCATAGCCCTTCATCCCAATGCCTTTTCCCTCTCTGCTCCTTTCTTCACATCACCTTCTACTCACTTGATCTGCTGCCCCCTTCTTACAAGGACCCTTGTAATTACATTGAGCCCAACCAGATACTCAAAGATATTCTTCCCATCTCAAAGTCCTTACTCACATCAGCAAGAATGCTTTTGCCATGTAAGATAACATATTTATAGATTCTGGGGATTAGGATGTGGCCATCTTTGAGAGGCCATTATTCTGCCTACTATAGCGTTCAATACAAACTTCCTTCCCAGCCAGTCCTAAATCAATGAAAAAATATATATTGTTGTTGGGAGCACTGAAGATCCCTGTAAAATATGGAACATCATTTTTTTGGCAGTTTTTATAGTCACCAGATTTCTTTTTAAAATTTTAAATAATCTATAAAGTATCTTTGTGTACCACATACTTGTTAAATGTAAATTCTCATATGGTAATATAAAGGAAGCCTGTATATTTGAAAATAAATATAGAAAACCCTTCACATAGGAAAATAAATGAAGGAGAATATTGGAGAGAGTTTCTGAGTAGCAATATAAAACTTTATTGTGAAAACTTTATTGTGATTCCATTTTTTTTCCACTCATTCAATCAGAAATAGGAGAAAGGATCACACTGAATACAATAGGAATTGTCCCTTGAATATAATATCTAGCCAGTCTTCTGGAAATATTATTTTTGTTACTGAGCTTTATTGAGGGAAAGAGCTGTTAGTTAAGGGTTCAAATCCTGGGCAAGTACCTAGACATCAGTTGTTTAAGTTTCTGATGAAGAAAGCAAGCCGCTGTATGTTTTTAAAACTTTTAAGAGGAAGTAGTCACACTAACATAAAAGAAAAATCCTTCTGAAGAGGCAGCAATACACGTCTCCTGGAGTGAGGACAGGGTTTCAGCACCTAGGTGTCACTGCCCTTTAGGAATTTTATCCCCATCCTTTCACTCCAGTTTTGGATATTTTGGCATAAAAGGCACATAGCAGTTCATAGCTTTTAATGAGTTGGAGAATTACATTGAAATTCAGTACTGTGATAATAACCTCCAAATTAATATTTTCCTTCAGATAAATTGCACTTGAAAAAAAAAACTAATCTTACTGCCCATAAAGTGACGTAATAAAACCACAATGCCAACTATAGCATGCAAAATTCTCCCAGCAAATGTTACAGAGACAGTCCACTTTCTGAGTGTTTGCTCTTTGTGTTTAGCTATTAAAATAAGGGTTTAATTTAAAATGCATGAATAAGCTTCTTACTTGATTGCAGACAAGCAAAGGAAGTAAATATTGTTTTTCTTTCTCTCTTTTAGAAAGCAAATATTCAACGCTTTTCTTTCCTTTGTGCAATTGCAAATTTAGTAGGTGTCCTGGGAATGTAAAGGGGAGTTAGGGGCAGGGGAGGAGGGTATTGAGCATAACTGTTCAGGTAACTGATCTAATGTCCTGATCATCTCTGTGATTTCCCTGATGTTTCTGCTACTGTGTGACTTTCGCTTATGCTGGGATTTATAACCCTGTCATTCACGAATAGGTGTTTGAGAGGAGCCATTAAACAACCATCAAAGCATTAAACAGATACACACGGGGGAAGTACCACAAGTACTGCCATAAGTTGCCTGGAGAGAATCGCTAAGCCTGGCAGCAGACGTGATACTACTTGGAGTAGGAATCTGGGGAGCTGAGAGTTGACAACAATGTCCAGAGGACTGGAGGTGAAAGAGCAGGCAGCTTGAGTGTGTGAGACAGATGCTGCTTTCACCATCTCCCACGTGTAATATTTTCAACACATCAGTGGAGCATTAGAGTTCGTGGCATGCCTAGTGACAGGAATAGAACCATGAAATTGTAATGTCTTGCCAGTTTTAAGATGTAGATGAATAACTTCTTGTCAGAGCAATGAAGTCTTTCTTATCCTATAAAAAATCCACATATAACTAATGAGACTCTTGGGCCATCATACCTGCTCTGTTCAATGTCTTACACTGATTTGGCTGTTCAACTACCTGTGGCATTTGGACCATGAAGACAGGTATTTTCCAAATTGATTAACGCTGTACTAAATTTGAATACAAATGCCTACATCTGAGTTGCATCCTGAATACAATGGGCAAATTTGACATATTATATAAGCTATTCCTGGTGCTCCTACATCAATGATCAGATTTCCATGATTCCTTTCATACAGAAAACATAAAAATTAGCTCATGTCACACATTGTGGAGGGAGACTAGGGATGGCAAGATGTCAGGGAACTGCCATTTTGACTGATTGTCCTCCTGGCAATTTATTATGATAATAGATTGCTTTTTATTATATCACTGCATTTGACTGTGATGATATTTAACTACTGAAGATTAAAGACATGTCATGATGCCAAAGGACTTTATGAATGGACTAGTACATTTTTTCCACACTTAAAATTAATAAAACAGACAATCATAAAAAATTCTGGAAAAACTCAGTCACTCCACTAAAGAATCTACAATTTTTGTCTTTCAGCATTTCCTTCAGTTGTTGAGCCAATACATGTTTATTGTTTACTTTTTATATGATAGCACTAGGCTAGGCACCACTAGGCCAAGGCACACTTGACCATAAACTATGACCCCAATCTGAAAGATTTTACAGTCAAGTTTATCATTCATAAGGCAAGAGGAAAGAATGCAAAATAATATATACCATTTCTAATTTGTATGCTATAGAAAATAAGTGAAGTGATGCTTACAGAAAAGAGAAGCAGATCAATTATGGATAGAATGATGTAGAACATCATTGCAGTCAACTGGTGGATGGATAGAATTCTCAAGAAAAGAGAAGAGAAGTCATCTTACATAGGGAAGTCAATGCGTGGAGAAAAGAATATGCTTATGAGGGGAACAGATAAGACCATTTCTTAAGTTTAAGGGTTACTGTGCTCCAGACATTGTGCTACATGATTTATATGTCTTTTCTTATTTAACCTTCTCAGCAATTCTGTAAAGTTATGTAAAGAGTTATGGTCCCCATTTTACAGATGAGAAAACAAAACCTTAAAGAGGTTACGTAAAGTCATACAGCTTGGAAGAGGAATAACTTGGTCTGAAGCCTGGTGACATGACTGTGTGTCGGCTACAGTGCAAATAGTGGCTACATGCAGGTTCAGTCTAGGATGGTGGCTGTGGGAACCCAGAGGTAGACCCAAATCGCAGATGCTGTTCTCACGAAAAAATGGTCAGGACTCTGTGGGTATGGAGAAATACATGAAGACTGTCAAAGATTCTAAGGGTTTTACTCCAGAAGTTGGGTGCTGACTTTAAGACCCACTCAAAAAGAGTGGGGAGAGTCTGTTCTCTGAGATCCTGCACTCTCTGGAGTTATCACAGAATTTCAAGAGCAAAATTATCTGCTGCCTAGAGAGCAATATTCAGTCATCCAAACCTTTGGGGGGAAAAAAAGACTAAGATTGTTTGGTCCCTAGGCTGCTTACCTAATTCTTCTATCAAATAACTAGGTCAAGTAGGAGGATGCTTGGGTGGGATTGAGGAAAAAGGCCTTTCCTGAGCCTAAAGGGATTTAAAAATAAAGGGAAAAGAGGTTAGGAAAGACTGTGCTGGAGCCTAGGGAGCAAGAGCTTTGTCTAGGTACCCTAATTCAGTGAAAAAAATGGAGCAATTAGCTGAATTGGAGCAATTCAATCCCCAAGCGTCACTTTTGTCTTGATTTTCAATAAGTGTACTTACCAGACAAATGTCTACTGAGTACCTCCTATGGAAAGTGGCTTAAGAGATACAAATATCAATTAGATACAGATTCCATCCTCAAAGAGTTTATTGATATTTATGGGACCACATACCCATAATTAACCCTGTAACTGGGGTGAACATGATTAATAGCTTGAGCTAGGCAGATTAAATTATTTCAGAGCTCAGAAGAGAAAGACTTCTGTAAGAAGGGACAAGGGTAGGTGAAAGGCTAAGAACAGAAGGTATTTTGGAGGTGGTTTTTGAAATGTATGTGATAGGCTTTGGACATTTAGGGATGGCAGAAGAAAAGAAACCAATTTTAGGCAAAAGGAATAGCATGAATTAAAAGATTAAAAGGTGGGAAAACATGAAATATGAATAGGGAACAAACTTGAGTACTTGGGTTTGCCTAGAGAGCAAAGAATACATGAGTATTTCAGAAAATACAGGATAATTGATTCAATTTTGCACTATATTCTGCATATCGTTTCATTTGTAGCAGCTTATGCTGACACCATCGCTATAGTGGTGCCCATAATGTTAAAGTCAACTCCCCTGACCTAAGTGTTGCTCATTGCTTCTGCCAGTCAGGTCAGGTGACACCCGGCCCTCTTTGCAAATTCACAGAGGTGATTTGGAAAAATGCAGACACTCCATCAGCTAAAAATCCATCGACCGCATATTTCCCCAGCTATTGGACATAGTCAACGTTAATAGTCCATGTAAATAGTCAGTGTTAGTAAAGGCAGTGTGAGACTCCCTTTCCCACCTCCCTGTTAGTCTTCTACATCCCTTCATGGATTCAGTCTTTTCTTACCTGTGGGCACAATTTAGCTTCCTTGGATGTGCTAGAAAAAAAAAAATAACTATTTGATATGAGCTTATGGTAAATTTCTAGAAAGTGATAAAATTGATGTCTATATTCAGAGGCCCTACAAAGAAACTGTTTTCTCACTGTTGAGTTACCGACAAAAAAACCTGACACTGAAATGCTGCAGTTTCTTAGTAAACCAGGCAGCTGGAGGGCTATGAACCACACTGAAAAGAGTTTGCCTTTTCTAAATTAGTGTTTTGCTCAAGGGGAGGAGCAGGAACTAATTGTAGTAAATATTGCCTCCCAGCATTTAATTCTTTATAAGTAAATTTACTTTTGGTTTAATAAACACATTATTTCACCTTTTATATTCAAATGTCGTATAGCCAAAATATATAATATTATGGTTTTCTTCTTAAAGGTATTAACAGAGGAGTCAACAGACAGTACAGGGATCTGAGTCAGTCAAGTATGAGTATGATATAGAGAACTTCCTCAGAAGAGCATTTGTCAGTGTCACACCCACTGTACATTAAACATAGTAAAGTTTATAATATAATCTTGAGTCTCATTTATTGTATCTAGTTATAACGGATCAGCTCCCTTTTCATTTCTTCTTTAATTTCACTGTGGTAACATGCTTGAGTGAATTCAGACATGGTACATTTAACCAATTTGGCAGTATGCCTTAGGCTTTTTAAACAAACAAAGATTTGACGGGCTGTCTCTAAACTCGAGCCCCTCAGGTAATTCTTGCAGCTGTAAATACTACCCCTAAGGTGATTTTTCACTGTACTGTTGGGACCCAGGATGCTATAAGAAAGTGAAACCCACACACTTCAGGACCAATATTAATTCCTCAGATTTCTCTCCTCTTTTTAAGCTGAATGTTGTCTTCCCTCCAACTTATGATTTCCGCAACCCTGGCACTGTATTGAATTAAATTGTAGGCTGTTTTTTTTCACTAGGTGTTGCATGTACTTCCTAAAAGCCATCATGGTTGGGGATTAAATATCTTGCAAAGTTAAGACATAGTGAATGAATTACTCTATCGTTTTTCTGAATGAACAGACAAAACCCTCCTCATAGATTAGTTAACTGGATTTTTTTCCTGGAGCTCCTTCCCAGAGTAGGGTATAAATAAGTATATTTGTTTATAATAAATACATAATTTATATAAATCAATATTTACAATAAATATATAATATATTAAATACAAATATCTTTTTATGGCTTTATAAATTGAGAATATAATTTAATGTCTGAGGTGAAATTTTTTAATGTTGAAAAGATATATACTTCAATTATTTTCTTCTTAAATCCAATCTAGCAAATGATGCCTAACTTTTATTATACATAAGTCAAAAGGGAAAATTGGCTTTTAATGTATTTTCCTACCATGTTTAAATTGCAACACTATATGCTAACAAAATAAAAATATTTCAAAGCAAGTGTCTTGAGAGGTTGCATGTAGGCCAAAAACAATAGGAAGTATATTCCACAATGAATTAAAGACGTGTGAACTTAAGGTTGCTTGTCCCCTGGGTAAGAGATTTGTCTTGTTTTGTATTAGCTTGGCACCTACCACAAGGTAGATGGATCATAAAATTTGATTATTACTATGAACTTTTTTTATAACCCAAACTTATGACCCATGAACACCACCTCATCTCTCATCTAACAGCCCTTTACCTTTTTTGAAGTGTTACCAAGGTAATACATACTACAAAGCATGCACAACAAAAGAGATGGGAATTACAACAGGAATATTTCATGGGCATCCAAATTGTAAGCAATTTCCATAATCAGGGATTTGGTAGACATCTACATAAACCTTGACTCAAGACAAAAACCTTGTCAGAAGGATATTATTTTCTAAAGAAATCAGGTTAAATTACAGGATAATTGCAGTTATCTTTACGCATATTATTTGTGGAGGAAAACAAACCTTGAAATGTGCTTTTATATAGACTTTATAGTGGCTCACTGGTATTGCATAGAATTATGAAGGCAAAAATAAGTCAACCAACAACCGGATATGCCAAAAGCTTAGATGCTATCAGTTGTGGACAGATATCAATGAGTCCTCTAGCCAACTATTATTAAATAATTGCCTTTCCCTAATATCATTAATGGCCGAAGATACAGATTTACACAAAATAACAAATTTCATCTTTCCTATAATGCCTTTGATCTTTGCAATGGCCTATAGTATTGATGGGAGTTGGTTTTCCTAATGAGGGAATTGACACACAGAAAAAGGTAAGGATTTACTAAAGATCATAGCAGCATTTCGAAGTTGCTCTTCTTCGCTTTTGGGAAATGAATCCTGTCTATATGAATATATCCTTTGAAATGCAGAGTTCTCTAGAATACTAATTGCATGATTAGTCAATGCTCCTGTGAGATGATGGTGAAAGTCCTCTCTTAAGAGCTTCGTGATCAGATTTGTACATTTGTATGCTAGGTTTCTCTGACCTGACTTTGTTTACTGAATTCTGAAATTACCTCTTTTGTGGTTTTTTTTTTTTTCCTGCTTCTATGAGTTCACTTTCTATCTCCATAGATATGGATTTCTTCATCACATTCCTCTTTAATGTGGTTATTAGATATAGAGTGCAGAAGATTTCATAGTTGAGATAGCGAGATGGAACCAAGCACACTGTTTTGAGGTTTGCACCCTCCCAGTTTATCTCTTCATATGGCTGCCTGGGATGGGATCATGCCTTGCCATCTTTAGGAGCAAGGCCTTTCAGCTGCTGTCAGATTCATTTAAATAACCCACAGTGAGTGATGCCCGACTATGTGGTGCTGTTTGATGTGCAGAAAATGCCAGGGTGCATATGGAGAGTAAAGCCCTGATACCTTGTTTATCTCATTTTGGCCTCGCCGAATGTGCTGCCTCTCCCCAGCATTCCATCTCAATTTACTGAGGAACTGTGAGCTCAAGGAACTTATCCAAAGTCACACATGAGTGGCTTACCAGAATTCATACCCCAGAACTGTCATGGTTCCTAAATCCTTTATTATGAGCATTATACCATACCATCTCCAGGTCTCAGTATTAACATCATGTAAATTTATTCTCCAGCATGATTCATTAAAATGAAAATGGGCCATTCTCTCTGATTCTCCAAGCACTTCAGAAGAAGCGTTACATCCTGAATACAGATTTCATTTCTGTGAAGGAGACGAGAAAAGAAGCTAAACCTTTGCTTGTATTGGAGGCTGGTTCAATTTTTAAGGGCTTTTATGACAGTTTTCAGTTTAAAATATTTAAAGAAAAGCCAAGCAGTGTTAAGGTTAAGAACAGCTACAATTGCATTTTTAACAGTAGGTAAAACAAGGAAACTAAAAAGTGCCTGTAATTCAGTGGCAAAAACCTAATGAATCCCCTCTGGATAAAATGTTAATGTAAAACTAAATGAAAAAGAACACAATCAACCTGTGCTAGACACCCACTCACATTTTAAAATGCTTTTTGTCATCATAAAATACATAAGCATCAAATGCCTTTTTTGGCGGTATCTCATTTTTTGTTTAACGAATTAAAATAATATTAGAGCAACCACTTATATGTAGCTCCCAGTATAAAACAATATAAAAAGAAATAAAACTCAACATATAAGCATGTTTGAAATTATAGTGAAGAGGTAGAAAGGTGAAAATAAAAAGTGGAGAAATGTAAAAATGTGATTTTATCTTTTTCTTCTCTTCAGTAAGAGTCCTTCCACTTTGGGTCCGTTCTTCTTTTTAAAAAATATAGAGAATACTTGCCCTTTTTTTTACATGGATGCTTAGGTTAACTATTATGTTCAACAAAAGGCACTTATTAAGCACCCATATGTGCCAAGTAGCAGAATTGGCACTATTTGGAAAATATCATTTCCTCTCTCAAGGAAGTTATAATTTTGCTGTGGAACAGAGAATACAGAGAAGAAAATGTCAAGTAAGTGGCACACACAGTAAATATTGCGGGTGTTTTGATGAGAAATGCATGTTACAGCAAAAAAATCAGCCTTCCAAATCAAAGCAGAAGCACAAAAGATGGTTACAGACAGCGGAAGAGCCTGACTTTAGGGTTCCGATGGACCTGTTTGCAAATACCATCTCTACCACGATGAGTTGTGTGATGTTGAACAGGACTTATTCCCCAGATACAAGAAGGGATGATACTATCTACCCAATAGAGCTATTTTGAGTATTAAATTAGAAATATACACAACTAACTTTCCCATCAATGGTAACAATGATTCTAGTGGTGGTAGTAATAAGAGCATTTTTCAAACTCCTGGAACCAGTGACTTGTATAGAAAAAGCTCTGAATGAATTTCAATTCCCTTTTCTAAGACCCCTTTTACCTGCAACACCATCTAACTCTAATTGCATGAGTTGAACCTTAAGTCAAAATAGATCCTACAAGTTTAGAATTGGAGACAGACATTTCATATGTGAATAAAGAGTAAACAAAGTCTGGAATTTGAAAATACAATTAGGGCCTTTAAGAAACGATGAACATACTAGATTCAGGGGGTAGGTGTTGATTGTAAAGTACTACCACATGCGTTTTGAAAGCTGATGAGCTGTCTAAATACTACATATGGTAACCGCTATGTAGAGGATTTTTTTCTACTACTTGACTTTGAAATAACTTTTCTCCATATGCATGCCAAATTAATATAGCAGAGGGAGAAGTTCAATTCAGTTCACTTCATCAAGTATTTATAATTGCAGAATGCCAGAAAAGGACATTTTTCTTGATCAACATCTGCATTCCCCTTCCAGTAAGTCCCAATAGACTTACTGTCCATATTGCTGTTTTCTGCATAAATAGGAAATCTTGGAGGTTTGGCCTCTATACTCTCCTGAAACCACATATGACAAGTAGAATTGTTCCTTGATACACTGAGTTTAGATGATTGCCCCAGCCTTCAGATCACCTGATGGAGAGAACTGGGGACAGACTAGGAAGGGGGCAGTGATTTTTAACAACTGGGTACAAAAGAACACAGGCAGAGCCACATTCATCAGTCATTCTTCTACTCCTCCCTGGACACTACCTACTACAAATTTTGCCTTCCTTTATACCTCCCAGTTGGAATCTTGAAATTTTTTTCCTAAGGGCCTGTAAATGTCACATATATAAATATAGGGATTTAGCACATAATATTATAGTATTATGTGTCCCTAACGAAAATGTTTTAGGTGACAAGAGCTTCAGCAACATCACAGAAGAACGCAGAGGTAATCAAAAGACCATGTTCGGAAAAAAAAAAAAAATCAACTCTCTAAAAATCTTGTTGATGTCGACACATTCCAAACGCAGGAAACTTAACTGATAAAGTAAAATGTTCTATTTAGCACTTTGACATCTTTTACTCTCTTCCGTTTTTTTTGTAATTGAAAACATATTTTATGGTTGAAAATAAACTGTTAACTCAAGTGCATGAAAATTAATTTTTAGGAATAACAGTTTGGGGAAATGCACCAAAATAAATACCAAGTGGAGAAAAGAGGTTCCGAATCTAATTCTCGAGGAATGTCATTTCTCTATAGAATCCCAGTAAGTAAATAGGCAAAGCAGTTTTAATAAAAGTCCATTCCAGAGTAAACATAGTTAACAAACATACATATAGAAAGATGTTTACTCCAGGCATAGTCCAAGAAACAAATACAATAGCCTTATGATACACATGATTTAAAAGTTTAAAAATGAAAAAAAGTGACAAAATGTTAGCAAAGTTGCAATAAGTCTCCATATTCATTTGTTTTTGGTAGCATTGAAAATTGGATGATTCTTTTAGAAAATCATAGGTGAAAGATGACAAGTAGGTAATATTTAGCATGCTAACTCTGACTTTCTGTTTAACTCCAGTGCTGTTTGGCGCTCTGTGCTGATAAGAATCCTAAAGCCTCGTGTGGTCTTAGCGGGAAAGAGCACTAGGCTAGACGAGAAGTGTGTGCCACGGGTAAGGGAACAATAGTAAGAAGTAAGGATAAATGGTTTTAACATTCCTTGATTTAAAAAAACTCCAGTCCTAAGCAAATGTTTCAAACAATATAAAAAATCTATTTATAAAGAGGTTCATCACAGAATTAACTGTAATGGCAAAAAATGACAACTTTAAAAACAATGGAAATAGGCCGGGCACGGTGGCTCACGCCTGTAATCTCAGCACTTTGGGAGGCCAAGACGGGTGGATCATGAGGTCAGGAGATCAAGACCATCCTGGCTAACACGGTGAAACCCTGTCTCTACTAAAAATACAAAAAATTAGCCTGGCATGGTGGCGGGGGCCTGTAGTCCCAGATACTCAGGAGGCTGAGGCAGGAGAATGGCATGAACCCGGGAGGTGGCGCTTGCAGGAGCCGAGATCGCGCCACTGCACTCCAGCCTAGGTGACAGAGCGAGACTCCATGTCAAAAAAAAAAAAAAAAAAAGGGAAATCGTTTAATAATTATGGTACCTCATCAATGATTTTCATGTATTTAAAAGTATGATTTTAAAGATCATGTTGAAGACAATTTCCTCCATTCCTCCGTTATATTTTTCCATGTAATATGCCCATATGGTAAGCAAACAGAAAATAATAACTAAGTTGGTTAAAAAGCATTAGGAGTTTTCTGCCACTGAGATCAGTTTTGTATCATCCCTCACCCTCTGGCATTTTAAAAAATAATACTTATGATTCCCTGATTCTATGGAAAGAAAAGCATATTTTAGCACAGTTGATTCTGTAGAAATTAAATTTCAGGTATATGAATTTAACAAATTAGCACGTCATCAGGCTGATTGTTTGATCTTTCTTAAATTAGAATTAATAAGGCTGGAAAGAAATTACTTCCAGCTCGTGCCTCTTTATACGGAAATTTGCTAATGAAACAAAACCTCAAACTACTTAAGTATGAAACAAATTTTCATGCCCTGCATTTTCAGGCTTAGTATTAAAGTAGACAAGCTTCTTTGCAAACAAATTTTTCAGAGAAATCTTCAAGACTAAATTACAAAGCACACTGCATTTTCTGCAGATTTGTGGTAAACCAATAAGCTATGCAGCAAGCTGCTACTAGAAAAACAAAGCGTATCACTTTGCTTTTTCAGTTTATTTATGTGTGTTTTGGATAGTCCCTAGTATTGCATCCGAAAATACCTGTTACAAGATGTTCTTACTTTCATTGATCACTGTCATAACAAAAAATTACTGTTCTTGTAACATTTCTATACCATCTTTCTAAATATTATTGCAATGAATGCTAATTTTAAAAAATACTTTATTCAGCAACGACAAATAAAAGCACAAAGGATAGTTATCTTTTAAGATTTACCTTTAAATATCACACAGAATTACATATAATGTTTTGCAAAATATTTGATCAAAATGTTTGATCAAATATTTTGCAAAGCATTATACATAATGAGAAGCAGAAGATGAAAATTTGGAAATCAAATAAGCTTTTGGATGTATAAAACAGTAGCCTAATAAGTACATGTATGGGGTTTGGAAAAGAGATTACTCTATATAGTTCAAGTCTTTATTGTAGTCAAACAAGGAAATTGTGAGACATCAAACTGGTCATTTAAATCGATATGTGTAAAATTTGTGCAGTTGCAGTGTCTCTGGAAATATCAAATTGACTTACTCTCTCTACCTCAACACAAGCCTCACAAACGTGTCTCTATTAGTCCAATTTCATACTACTATAAAGAACTGCCTGAGACTGGGTAATTTATAAAGGAAAGATGTTTAATTGACTCACAGTTCAGCATGGCTGGGGAGGCCTCAGGAAACTTACAAACATAGCAGAAGGCAAAGGGGAAGCAGCCACCTTCTTCACAAGACAGCAGGAAGGAGAAGTGCTCAGCAAAGCGGGATAAGCCCCTTACAGAACCATCAGATCTCTTGAGAACTCACTCACTATCAGGAGAATAGCATGGGGGAAACCGCCCCTATGATTCAATTACCTCCACCTGGTCTCTCCCTTGACACGTGGGGATTATGGGGATTACAATTTAACATGCACTTTGAGTGGGACACAAAGCCTAACCATATCAGTGTCCAAGAAATGTGTGCCACATAAGTTCCTAAATGACTAACTGGAGTAAGCCTATGTGATGGTAAATTATTTTGTTATAATGTGGTCTAATTGATGTGAGCTAATATGCCTTAATTTACATTGATAGTAAATTACTCTATTGGACTATGTCATCATCATTTAACCATTTATAAAATTGTATTTGCTCTGCCAGCCTCAATTCTATCACCGCATACTTTTGGTTATAGAAAAGACCAGTTCTAAAAATAATGGTAAACTTATTTGGATTAAGGGAATCTAATCATCTTTATACTTATCATGTATCATGGTACTCAAGCTTACATATTTTTCTATCTTCCTAGGCTGTATTTACACAACACGATATATAAATACCAAGCAATACACATGTTTGGGTTATTTAAAAACTAATAAAAAACAAGGAATATTTTAGATCTTAAAAAGCCAGTAAGCAAATCAAGAATTTATTTTTAGAAAGCTGATCAAAGTTTAGATAAAGAAATGACTGAGGAATATAAAATTTGGAAAGTAAGGAAAAATCATTTTAATCTTTATTTGTACATATATTAGAGTCTAATACTCTAACAACAATACATAGTACCACAATAACTCAAAAAATAAAGTTTATTTCTCCCTCACAATGACCGTCTAGGCCTGCAGAACAGATGAACAGCTTTGATCCACACGATCACTCAGAGATCCATGTTTTTTCTATTATTTAATTCTGTTGGGTCCTCTGAGAAATAGTCATTGTAACAAATGTAATTTTACAAAAAACCTTATTTGATGAGTGGAAGATAAAACGAGGAAGAAGCAAAATTAGGCTACAGAAGCCTTCCAACTGTGCTGCAGGTCCGAAAACTATGAAAAGAAAGAGGAAAGGAGGCAAGATTTTGCACAGCAAAGCTGAGACCATCATGTAAATCTGGTGAAGATTAGGTCAGCCCAGTGTACATCTGCAGAGCAAATATTGCTTATTATAGAAGTCTCATATTGGGCAAAAATGGGCTGACCCTAAAGCCCTCACTGTGCTCAATTTTTGGCTGTGGCTGCCCAAGAACAATGTGGCCTTGGCTTGAAAGCTGAGGTAAATCCTGAAGGCCTTAACGGTTGAAGGTGCTCAGCCAACTGCCTATCTTGCAACTACATGGCAAGCTCTTTTCTTAATGTGAGATCTGGGATGAATGCCTCCAAGGCTGCCATATTATGTAATAAAGGGAGAATGGGTTCAGGGTACACCAGCTGTTGGCACAATATGCATATATATCCCATTAGTAGGAATAGAATACAAAGAAATATTGATTTAATAATTGGTTGGATCCTGCTAAATCTATCTGGAAGAGGGCTGTATCAGAGCAGTGAGTGTCATGTGTGCTCTTAAGTTTGAGAAACATTTATAGTTTTTTCCTTTTTCAGACCAGAACTGATATAGTCGATTAGAGAGTAGAATTTGTTGTCAAATTTGTGATATTTTAAAATTTATAAACAGACACTACATAGAATATAGTTTTTCATTTGTATTGAGATTTAGCTGAAAGAATAAGAAAGAGCTAATCAGGGTCCTTTGCCTGAATTCCCCACAAATAAGCTGTAATATGGAGAATCAGCAAGGATAAGTGATGAATTTTCCTGATTAAATTAAAAATATCTCTGCAATGTATCTCTAACACTCACAGTAAAAATTCTTACTCTCTATTGCTGTCCAGATCCAACTACTAGAATTAATTCTGAGGAAAAGGAACACAAGAGACTGGGTTTGAATATAAATATTTTTGTCCAGATCCAAGGAGTTAATTCAGTGAAGAAATAGCTTCCAATCCAGAGAGATAAAGAATAATTTCTACTATTTATTGAAAGTCTACCATTTATTGACATATGTCAAGATCTTTCTATATGTTGCATGTAATCTCAATATCCCTGCAATCAGTACTGTTACCCTCATATTACAGATGATGGAACTAAGGCTCAGAGTTTTACTGATTACCCAAAGACATATGGCCAGTACAGACTTAACCTGGTGTTATACTCAGATCTCAGTCATCCAGAACCCATCAATTTTTAATTATGCCATTGGCTTTCTATTAATGAACAGTCCTTTGGAATAAGCATTCTTTCCTTTTCTTAAGTGTTTATAATTGGTCAGATTTGAAAATTTTTGCTTTTTAAAAAAAGACTATAGTACAGTTTAAATGAATGTGCACTGTTTATGGCAGACTCTAGTGCTTGCTAGAGTCTGTTTATTTTCTAGAATTCACACACGGGGGTGGCAAGGAGTCAGATTTAGTTTAGAAAAAATATTTAAATAATGTTTTAAGACATAGAAGTTTTGTTAAGTCTCTTATAAGAAATCAGAACGTTGTGCTTATATATATAAACATATACAAATATATACATACATATAAAATTGTATGTGTACAAGTATATATGAACACATATGTTCATTTATATACACATAAATGTAGACAAACTTGAAAACATAAATTTAAATATCCATGATACCTTCTGTATCCACTCAGACATTATTATATAATTGACATTCCTCATTCCTGGCCTCATTATTGCTTGATTTAACGATCAAGAAGTAGAAGAAAGACACCCTTGGAAGGTTAATAAGCCATCCAGAAAATTAGATTAGAATGATCAAACCTTAATGATTATTGTTTCTCATTATAATAGATCACCTAAAAGTTTGAGGAAGAAAAAAAATAAATTGGCATCATTGGGCAATTATACTTGTAGTTTTCCACAGTAGATTTTACGGATGATCACCAGTTATGAATCCTTTTCATATCGAAAACCAGAGTTTTTTTATACATTATACTTCCATTATTATAGTAATCAAAGGCCATGTATTTGATCATCATCATAATGGAGTACTTGAGGCATTTTCTTCTTTGCTAATTGACAGTTGGTCAGTTAAGAAGTGCTTTTCACAAAATCTTCCATAACCTTAAGGGTTTGAATTAGCTTGTAATAAATGCCTGAGAAGCTCCTCTAGATTCTTAAGTGCATTTGCTAAAACTCTCAACCGCTATTTTCCACCTTCTGGTCAGGAAATGCCTTTGATCTGCCATCTAGCTGCCTTACTTGCATATATCTATCTGTCTCAAGCATTGTAACCCTACTCATCAGCACAGTGACACATTACCATTTAGATATCATTTTCTGATGACCGATTTCTCTGAAAAAGAAAATGAAATGCTAACAGTAGGAAAAGGGTCAAACTGAAGCTCGGATTGTCCCATTTGGAGAATTGCAGGAGGTGGTATGTAGTCAGAAGACTGAGCCCTGAGCTTGATCTTCACTCCCACTTTAATTACACACCTAAGCACTTCCTGTGCAGACTTTTTGGCTCACTGGCTGCTCCCTGATCACTCACATGCCACTTCACCATCTGTGGTGGGACACCCTGCCCCAGAGCCTGAGTTCCACAATATCAAAATCCAGTAATACAAAATTGCTTCCTTCAATTTCACTCTCCCTGCCACTTACCAATGAGGTGGTGCTAGTAGAGGGTGGGCAAGGGAGTGAATTGGAGAAATGGGATAAATGAACTTGCTGCTTTTTTAAAAGGAAGAGTGCAGTGCATGGTCTTAAAGCATGATGATACTATAATATCCATAGTGACAGGGACTTTATTTAGCTCAGTTTTCTCTCCATTCTGCCACTTACGTGTTTAGTAAGTGTTGGTGGAGTAAATGAAGACGCTAGAGAGATTGGTTTATATCATTGAATTAAAAATTATATCTAGTTTTACTTCGATTCTCTCATGGCATTCTATTTTTAAGTAAATAAAGATTTAGAGAAGATATTTGTGGTGCATGCTCCCAAATATTAGGAATTTAATTGATCAGTCTAAAACCTCTGTTAATAATAGGAAAGGAAGAAAGAGAATAGGGGAGACATAGAAAGGAGAGGACAATAATGCATGTGAGTTTCTCAAATATAACAGAGCAATAGATATTTGAGTAAAGAAAGCTTATAACTATAAATATATACCTATAAATACTAAGTTGGAAAAAAAGACTTTTATCTCTGACAAAATTTAGTAATTTTATTCTTTTTCTTATGTAATAAATATTCCCTAAATACCTACTCTGTGCCAAGTAATGTGTGGCTGCTAACACACAGCAAAATGAAACAGATTATGCCCACAGAGAGACCACAGAGGTAGTTCCTTACACTTTTACTTCTTTCCTTCTTTGCTTCCTTCTTTCCTTCTTTGCTTCCTTCTTTCCTTTCTTCCATCTTTCTTTTCTTCCTTTATTTGTTCCTCCTTTTTCTCTTCCTTCCTCAAGTACAGAATACAAAGTCCACAGTATGAAAAATGAAATGCATCCTTAGTATCTCCCGCAATAGTTGAATTAATCTGGAAAAGTTAGAAATTGAAAATCTCTTTTTCTCCACTGAAGTTAGCTTCTTCAGTGTGCTTCCTAATATTTAAAATAAATATTTTGCAATTAGGGCAAAATATGTTAGTGACAGCTGCAGAGGCTGAAGGCTTCTATTTATTCAGATACCCATTTATCTCCAAAATATCAAGGCAATGGCAGATTCCCAGCTTATCATTGCTTCTAGATGTGAACACATAATTAAATCTCTATATGCCTTCGTTTTGCTTTAATCTCATTCCTCAAACTGCTAGTAATGAGAGACCTGTTGATGTCAGTTGGGAAGGTAATTCTTTGTAGGAAATTTTTAGCCACCGAAAATGAAGTCTGTCCTATTACAAGTAATATGCTGCTCAAGGGTCCCATGTTGTCTTTGTTTAAACTCACAGAGCAAAATTTATACATGGAAGAATTAGGCCCCCATGAAAAGAAAGCACTTTTGCAAGGATATACATAGTATGTATGTATATATATATATATATATATATATATATATATATATATATATATATAATAGTACTGTACTCTGGGTATAATAATTAATCTCAGTGGATGAGATAGGCATGCTAATCCAAACTATAAATATAATTGCAAATATAGAAGCCAGAGCCTCGGACAGAGGAACCAAAGATATTCATTATAGCGACATTCATCCTTCTGTGCCTAGTTCGAGTATTCTAATCTGTGGAACCTCAAGCCACAGTAATATTGATGCTCGTCATTAAGATGTTTAGAGAATAAATTAGAAGACAGCTTTGTTTGAGCTCTTGGGATACAATGAGTATGTTTTTATTAATTAAAGTTTTCTGTTGTGTTTGTTTATTTATCAAGAGAAATATATACAAAAATAACACACATAGACACACCACACATATATGATCATAGTAAGATATTCTCTCCACTTCATGAGAAGATGAAAATGGCAGTCATGCTATCTCTTATTTTATAAAATTTGGAAGTCTGAAAGGCTCTAAAAAGCCCTGAATTGGGAAGATTGATTCATGGATGCTATTATATAATGTATTCGAGTTATATACTTGTTAGAGCAGCACTACCCAATAACATTTTTTGTGTTAATGGACATGTTCACAGTAACCACCAGCTACATGTTGCTGTTGACCAGTTGAAATGTAGCTAGTGCAACTGAGAAGCTGGATTTTTAATTTTATTTAATTTTAATTAATGTAAATTTAAACAGCTACAGGTGGCTACTAGCTTCCGTGTTGGAAAATACAAACCTAGAACATTTGATTTCCATTTTTTAAAAGACTTGTTTTGTTTTAATAATAGTAATTTAAAACACTGCTTTTAGACAAATATTAACCAAAAAGATATATAAAATAGTTTAGTTATCATTCAATAAATATTTATAGAATATTTTATGATCACCCAACAAAATGGATTTTTGATGCTTGCAATAAGATTCCTCCTAGAAATTTAGAGACCAAACTCACTACATTCTCCACCTTCTCACCACCCCTTTTCCTCAACATATGAGGTTTTGTAATTTGTAATTTAAAATGTTAAAACTAAATATAATTATTACAAAAGTGAGTCAAACCTTCTCAGAACTAATAGCAGCAACTTAAGGCAGGTTGATACTCAGGTTTGGATAAACCACACCAAGTGACATATTAATTTCTCTACTGGCTTCTTAGAAGAAAGATTTGAGGTCAGAAAATAAAGGAACTATAGGTACCCACTCTTTTAGTCATCTGACTATTTGATTTATTTGATGAGTGATCTCAGTTGACCCTCCCAGGCACTGAACCATCAGAGAGTTATGCTGCTTTGTGATAAGAAACCTTGAGAGATACCTAAATCTTCTTTTACCACTGGGAGTTTCATCTATTCTGGAATAAAGAACATTTTTATGTATGGTGTTTCTATCTAGATAGCTGTAGAAATATTCAGAAAAGATTCACAGACTTAAATTCATTCTGACAAAGATCTTAAAATTGTATAATATTTACCAAGAATATATTAGATAACACCTTATTTTGTTTTATTTTTGTTTCTTAAAAGGTGAAGGAATGGTTAATGTATTATACATTGAGAAGTCAATTAACTTTCATTAGCATTTGTTTTTCTGTATTTTCCTCAGAGACAAACCAAAAAATGAGGAATGTTTCTAATTTGATCTCTGGAGTAATCATAGATATGGATATTGTATCATTTAACAGACTTACTAAACAAACTAGTAGGTTTTGAAGTGTACATTTCTACGCACCAAGAATGCAACTGGCTTCTTAATTTTCCTGAAGTTCTGAGGCTGGTTTTTATTTATAATCTAATGTTGGGCTGCTGATGATATATAGTCTTGAGTTTTTAAATAGGAGTTAAATACAAGTAACTTGCTTAAAAAAAAAAAGTTGAAATCATTCCCAGCTGCACTAAAACTGATGTGTAGTATATGTTTTTAAAAGCAGGTTTCACAAGTGACACCCTTGGCTGTTACATCCTATCCCACCCACAGATTCCTGTCAACATATAGCAGTTTTCACTAAGGAGATTTCATTGTTTATAGTATACTCACCTTGCCCTGGGATTCTGCCAGGTACAGCTGATATAAAATACACACTATGATTAAAACACATCTTCCCCATTTAAAAATACCTCACCTGAATATTTTTTTCATTTATTTGCACAAACCCACCTATATACACAGAAATCACTACCTCAACCATCTGACCCTCTTAAGAGTAAAGCAAGGTACATGTTTTATTTGGAAACCCTTTTTAGGCAAAGGAATGTGGTTAACAACCTTTCTCTTTGAACTGCTTGTCAGGCAGTGTGGGAGCAGAGGAGGAATGAGATTTGTCATGAAAGACAGCCCATGCTTCTGACATGGAATTTAGCAACTCAGGTGGAGTCCTCTTCATTTGGAGTACTTGTGTTGTGCTGGTGGAAGGTATTCCTATATAGAGGTGGTTTTCCTGAAAAAAATGAATATGATGCAGTCTCCGTGGACTACTATATAGACTAAATCTCTTTTCCTCTCCCTTCTCTCCCATTTAAAAATGCTGTCAATACCAGTGCTTGTACATCCATATAATCCCGTAAGAATGGTGCTTCAGATACACAAAGAGAAAGCATTTGAGTATAGAGACAAAATCAGTTGCTACATATCAATATTTCACAAAGTTTTAAGTATTTCGTTTCATTAACATTTTCTTTGAATCACACCACATATTTTTCAGGGAAAAAAACTTCATTTTATCTAATCTAAAAATACGAATATGCATGAAGAAATCTAAGCAGCATTGAGGAAAAATGAAAGCAACAGTACAGGATGTTGTGTGGGTATGAATTTGGTCAGGAAACAGAATGTGTCTTGAGATAGAAAAAAAATGTGTTGCTTTTTTTTCCCCTTTTGGGGATACCCTGAATCAGCCACAATCTGATCTTTGTATCAAAGTGCTTTAAGTTTTTTAAAGTATGCATGTGAATGTAGCTTTTAAAATACAGGTGATTATTAGAAAATATTTCCTGTATGTTCTGTGAAAGTGAAATTGGGCCTATTTAAGGATACAAGAACTTAGGTATATTCTTGCACCTTTTTTGATAGTTATTATCAATATTAGCTCTATAGAAAAAGTAAGGTTAAATTGTTCTAAATGTTCCAACAGTTTCTTCCTATCTTCTGCTCTGCTAGAGAGCAACACCTCTCAAACCTTATCTACTTCTACTCTCACCTCTCGTATAAGGCTAGCAGACTATATATTCCTTGCTTCATACTGTATTTTCAAACCATTTTCAATGCAATCCAGCATTACTACCCAATAAACTGCTTCTTATTTGAAGTTCATGCTATTTGCCTATGCCACCTTTCCCCATACTTTAGTTATAAGCTGCTGAACTCCACATCACTATCATTTTTCTCAGTGACTCAGCACGTAACTTATTTTCATATTTAGTCGGCCCTCTGTATTGTGGGTTCCATATCCATGAATTCAACCAACTAAGGAATAAAATATTTGAAAATACGTGGATGGTTGCGTCTGTACTGAACATGTACAGATTTTTTCTTGCCATCATTCCCTAAATACAGTATAAGGATTATTTACGTAGCATTTACATTGTAGTAGTATAAGTAGCACAGAGATGATTTAAAGTAGATGAGAGGATGTGCATAGGTTATATGCAATTACTACACAATTTTATATTAAGGAATAGAGCATTTGTGGATTCTGGTGTCCACAGGAGTTCCTGGAACTAATCCCTCGCAGACACTGAGAGATGACGGTACTCTTTTTTAGGGTAACCAATCAGGTAGCTGGGTACTTGAGAGCTAATGGTGAAATTGACACGTTTCAGGTTTCTAAGAAGGTATTAGGTCTGTAATATAGACCTCATCCTACATGTAAGAATAAGCAGATTGCATCCGTGCCACTTAGCCTCATCTTGTAAAATATTCAGGTAATGCTAGGTTATGTAAAGTTAGGCAGTAGTAGAACATCCCCCAAAATTTAGTGGCTTAAGAAAACCAAGGATCACTTTTCACTCTCACTACTTGTTCACTGCAGTTGGTTAGGCAAGATGCTATGTGGGGCAGCTGGCTCTGCATATTGTAGTCACCAGAGGACCTGGGCAGAGAGCAGCTATCTTAAACATTGACATTACACCTGTCCCCAGTACATCAGTAAATCTTGTCAGTTCTCTTTTCAAATTACATGACACATTTGACACTTTTTACTATCTCTCTGCTGCACAGCCTCCTAATTTGGCCTCCTCCCTTACTTATTCAAAGCATTCGCTCAGTAGGGAAAGAGTGCTCTTCAGGGTCTGCAACTTGCAATTACATGCTATACCCTGAAGTGACCCCGTGTCACTTTCCACTCGACAACTCATTAGTCAGAATAAATAATGTGACCCAGTCAACCACAAGGCACCTAGGAAATGCAAACTTGCCTTATGCCTGGACATTTAGTACACAACTTTAATAACTACCAAAGGGTCTATTTGATCTTTCTTCTCAACATTGGCCCCATAGTCCTCAGACTCCTCAACTTCGGTTTAACCATCTGGACATGTGGTTACACCTTGTTATTACCTAGAACTTCTATGATTTAAAGATCTCAGATTCTGAAATTTCTCTCTCTGACCACTAGTTCTTACCTCTCAAGCCCCATGCTAAGATGGATATAAAATATGTGTAAATCCCTGGCAATGTGACAAGTATAATTGCAGCATAAGAAACATGCCAAGAGGCTAGAGATGAAGGTGAGATGGTAGGGTGGGGGAAAATCATGAAAGACTTTGAATACAATGGTAAAGACTGTGAATTTTCATCCTTAAAGCCTTTGAACTAAACAGGCTTGTATCTTAATCAGACTTATATTTTTAAGAAGTCATTCAAAATTGTTTATTAACCTGTATTTCATAGTTATTAGAAATACCTCATTGGCTTCTAAACTGAGGCATAATCTTAAATTATATGAACAGCAGTGAAGCCCTACAAAACATGAGTTTCAAAAATTTTGTCATTAATTCCATCAGTGTGACTCACAGTGTTATGGTCAGACGGATCCTTTGACATTTAAAATGCTTCTTGGATTTATTATTGTTACCAATATGCTTTATTCATTCACAAATCTAAATCATAGTTTATACCTGAAAATTTTAGCTTATGTGTCCTTCAATATTTTGTATAATGTCCTAAAAACAAGCATTAAACAAAAATAATAATGGTGCTGGTTAAACCTAAATCTTCATAGTTTAGGCCAATAGCAATTTTCCCCCCAAACGTGAAGACATATATATATATATATATATATATATATATATATATATATATATATATATATATACACACACACACACACACACACACATTTTTCTAAATCTAGAAAAAACAGGGAAATTGATTAATTTCCAATTATATTATAATTAAGTTATAAGGCGTTTAAAAATAGAAGGTCCATGAAACTTGATGCAGCTAGGAATGAAAGCAGTTTGAATTTAAAAACCTAAAGTTGAAAAAATTAGCCTCATTAAGAAGTTCTAAATAGAGCATTGTTAATTTTTAAAAATTTATCTCTTTGCATTTATCTCTGGATAACCTTGGTGATCTAATGGCAGTAAAATTTTCTCTAAAACTCATGCAATTTTTTTAAAACTAGATGTCTTTTCCACAAATATTTATTTTCACTTTGTAGTTTCAGACTGAGCTAATGGTTTCGTAAGCAGACATATTGATTAGTTCAAAGTCAATTTCTAACCTATTCCAGCTCTTCAGCTTTCTTAGACCATTTTGTGGGGTTTTTTTTGGTTTGTTTTCTTTTTTTTCATTTTGTGTAAGATGGGCATGTCTTCTTTCATACCTGAAATCAAATAAATCTGACCTTCCTGTCCTTAAATGTTTGAGGATACATTTTTCTTCTTGTTATCTATTTTTTTTGTGTGTGATGATTTAAAATGAAGTATGTGAAAACACTTTGTTTGGATGGGAATGAAACCTAAGGCGCTGGGACCTCCTTAATTGGCTGCTAGTGGAGCAAATTCCAAGATGGAGCATCACTACAGAGGTCTTCAGGGGTTCTAGCGGGTAGACTATAAATTATTGATTTGAAACCAGAGCTTGAGGGGCAGTTGTAAGCTGGAAGAGGGAATCACAGGAGTCACTGACTCTACCACCTAGAGCCAATAGCAAAAGAGAAATTGTAGAGATGAAATAGGGTCTCTCAATGTGAGTCGAGTAGGGGGTCAAGGAAGGTATGTAGCTGGATCTAGCAAAAGACTGAAGCTAATTACAGGCACTGAATTCCGTTTTTGCCATTCTTTCTAATGTTTTGGATATTGTAATTCCAGAAGAAAAAAAAAAAACAGGAACTGGGCCTTAAGTAACAACACTAGGCTGGAAAATATTACAGGCAATTCAAAAAAATTATTGCTACAACTACCGATTTTATAAAATATGTTGACCTCTTAAAATTGGCTTTTTATATTTTTTGCTACTCTTTTATTTCATTGGTCTATTTATACCAAATAAGTTATATATTTAAACAAGCCTGATTTTTTAAATTTCTTCTTTACCTCGACTTAGAAGTTAGACTTAGATGGATAGTGTTTCAGGCTTACAGTGAAAACTAATGCCCATAGTAGGCAAGTACTAAAAGAAAAGGATAAAGCCCTTATTTTGTTTTTGTCTTCATCAATAAGAAAAGAGAGAAAATAGCACTTTAGTGCTTTCTTTTATCCAAAGTCCAGTGCACTAAAACAAAGAGGCTGGAGCTCCGGGCAATTTCTGAAGATATCTACCAGGGACTTCTTATTTATTTCTTACTTGCTCCTTTGCTCCTCCCTTGATCCTTTTACTCCTCAATATAAGAAACCAAATTTAGATGTTTCAGGGAAAGACTTTTTCTATAGGCTCCATAATATTTTTATCTGTTTTTGTTATGCTGTTTTGTGTTTCTTATTCCTCTGTTCATACAAAGATTTCTACTTCAGCATCATTATAAGGTCAAAAATTCACATTTGAGATGCTCAGCCGTGGACTTCCTTCAAAGAACCATCTTACTTGGAATAAGAGAATGACTTTCCTTCACCTTTAACACTTTCTTAATGATAACGCCTTAGAGTGGCAGAGCAATTTAGAGGTTGCAAAGCAAAGTCACACATCCTCCTATTTAATGTGCTCCACAGCCTGTGAGCTGAGCAGGGCAGGCATCTCATTTTACAAGTAAAAGTTCTGAGCCTCAAGAAAGAATCTGGGCAACCCAACTCTACTTTTTTTCGCATTAGGAGAATTTTGTGAAGATGCAAGTGCATTTAGATTAATTAATGCCATTTTCAGTTTTAAGTGTCACTATCAGATTTTCATTTCAGTAAGTGACATGGGAGATATGTTTAAGAAAGGCAGGTTTGTTAAGTATAGAAATCAGCTAGTTAGAAGGTAACTTTAAAATTTAGGCAAGGTATGATAAAGATCTCAACTACTACCGTGGTGACAGAATGGGAAAATATTTAGGACACAAACATGGAGTAAGTTATTAACAGATTGTGAACTCCCTCTACCAAAACAAATTTTTAGTAGGTTAAAGTTAACTCAATTGGCAATTAAGTCTTTATTTGATTATTCAAATGAAACTTGCTCTATCACAAAATACCTTTAAGTTATCAAAACCAAATGCCATTTGCTAAAGACATACAGAAGTGTAAGTTAATAAAGATACATCTTTATTCATTAGAGGCTTACTAATTAGAAGAATTAAGTACAAAGTTGGCAAGCAACAAATTGATGTAAGGAAGACTTAGAAAGACTTAGGTCTTCCTTTATTCACATTAATTTTCCTGCAGTATTTCACATCTTTTTCCTTGTCACATCACCTCAACTGATGACCTCCTTAAATGTAAATACAAGAGAGACAATGAATACAACTAGAGGAGATCAACTTCATCTTGTCTTTTCAGTGGCACCACCTCTCTACATATGTACCCACATACTCTGCCATCCCTCTTCCTCCAGGAGAAGACATGGTCCTGCCTCTAAGACCAACCACTACCCCTCTGTCTAAACCCAATCCCTACTTTGCTCCTGTAATTATCCCCTTTCCTTCCCATCTAACTTTGTTCCTCTATGCTCTATGATTCCTCTTAGCATACAATGATGCCTCAACACTACTCTTCCATAAAATCTCTCTCTTGACCCTACATTTTTATCCAAGTAATGATGCATTCTCTGTTCTCCTCATTAGCAAATCTTGCAAAAGTATTGGCTACATTTGCTGTTTCCACTTAGTAACCTCCCAGGCTTTTCTCAATCTCCTCTAACTGGGATTTGCCCTCCAGTAGCCCAAGCGATTGTTTATAATTTACCAATAAAAAAGAAATTTCTCATCTTTCAGGAATTAAATAAGGAAAAAATTAAAAACCATTTATATGAATATGCATAAAATGATTCAAATAAATTATCCTGGGAATAACAAAGCTATATTTAATTATAATACCATAGTTGATATGATATATTTTCATGAAGTCTGGCATAGTAACCTGCTCTAAATGAATTTTGCTATGCATGATATCAGGCTGTCTGCCTTCCTTCCTTCATTTCTTCTTTTCTTCCTTCCTGACTTCATTAATCTCTTTCTCCTTTTTAAAATGAACTTAGTATCTTCAGTTGTAACTCAGGCTTAGATGATAATAGAATTGTCCCTCAACATAGTAGCTTTGTATTAATCTCTTAAATTATTTTTCATTAATATGCAAAGATAAATTATATGTGATTTCTAAAGAAGCTTTGTCAAGCTCTAGCAAACTAGCTTAATTATGAAAAATTAAATATTCTGTAATGATCTCTTCTTTTGAAGTCTTTAATATGAAATTACATTTGTTTAATCATAAGCTTGGTTCTTGGGCTTTTCAAGTGGATTTTAGAACCGTAAACCGTTATGTTTAAGTGTAATTTCAGGCTTCCTTTAGTTTTTGGCATTAAAATCAATTTAAAATTAAAAATTATCAGTGGTGATAGATTTTTTAATCAAAAAGAAACAAAGATAATGGATTTCCTCCCTAAAATCTGAACACGTTACTGCACTATGACACTGATACATATGCAGTATTAATTTGTTTTAGTTTTATAGATAACAAACCAAAATGCTACTTCTTGTTTTCCCATTTTAATAATACGATGTAACAGTATAACTATTATTCATATGGCTCATATATCATAATCTATGAAAAAAAAGGAAAGTGTTTTCTTGTTCTTATTTTTCTTTAAAGTCATATTGGGGTTTCTAGGGAAAATTTAGAAAATGTTAAAGAAAATATGACTACAGCTCAAAAACAACAGCTTAGAATTGTCTGGGCCTCTAGGAACTGTCAACAGCTTCCATCATTTAAATACAACTTACTCACATGTGGGAGAAGCATATGGAGGGAAAACTCACACAAGATGCAAAATAGGCAAGTTGTACAAATTAAAGAACAGAATGGAGAGTTTTTATTTAAAATTTTCTTTTTATTTTTCTAAGTCAAATATGTCCTTTATTTGAGCGTAAACTCACAATTCAGATTTTTTGTGATAATGAGACAATAATTTTTATAATTTATTCAAAAAGAAAAATTGTTCATAACTCGATAGTCATTTTAGCTACAACAGATATATTAAATGCTATCACTCATCATTTATTTATGTAAATAAAGTAAAAAAAGATAAGCCTATCAAGAACTATTTTGTTACCTATTTAAGAAAAAAACACAGACCACTAGATTGATATTGACTAAAATAGCAGAAATGTGCATTCTAAAGTTTGAGATAACCAGATTAATATCTGCATAAAATGTGTGTAAAAGCTCTTTTCTCAGCCTCGTAATAATTTAAATGAGTGTAGAACCAGTATTTTTGTGTCATATTTTAAATCTAGAAGTCTCATTATTTTTGTTAACATAACCTGTTAGTTTCAGGGACTGCCTGCTTTATTTCACACTTGATGTATGTAAATGCTTCTATTTATGCACATTTATACTGCATTTAATGTTATGCTATGCTTAATTTAAATGGGACGTCTTACATGTCAGTAGGAGAGAAGTACTAGAGCTACATGGAAGATAAAATTTGAACCATGCATAAAGTAGGAAGAGTAGCGTTACATTGGGAGAAAGCCAAAATATAATAGAAGAAACACACCTTAACTATTATCAAATCTAAGCTGACAAAGAAAGAAAATATTAGAAAGTTTAAAGGCAGATTTGGAGAAAATTAAAAGGAGATCTTGGTTTGTGTAGGTAAGTAAAGCAACCAAAATCTGAACTGTGGAAAGTGATGTAAAAATATTTATTTCCTTAGAATTTATCAAGAACATTGATCCATATTTTATTAGTCAGCTTTCATTAGGTAAAGCTAAAATTACAGATGACCTCAAAATCCCAGAGGCTTACAGAATCAATGGCATATTCCTTGCTTTGATAACTAAAGTCAACTGTGGCTGTGCTCTATGTATCTTTTCCTTCTGGAACTGGTTGAAGGAACAGCCCATATTTTGGAATGTGTCTTTTTTGTACAGAAGGAAAAAGCAAGAAAGAAGAAATTCACATGATAGCTTTTTAATAGCTTCTATTAAGAACTCTCTCAATTCCACTCACATTTCAATGGCAAAAGCATGTCAGAAAACTAATGATGATATCAGGGAACTGCAAGTCATGCAGCTATGGCAAGAAACATATAATCCTTTTATCAGAAAGGGAGGAAAGATAATGGGGGGAAATGATACAATCTACTGTGCATCATATGCCAAAAGTGTTTTTCATGGAGAATGTGGTACTATAGATAAGTCTTGAAAAGTTAAGGCAAATACAGAACAGACGTCAAATCATTTAGTAGCGATTGGCAGGGGTCTTCATTAGTATAGAAAACTTTAGCTTTTTGCCTTTGAAATTAACACAAAAGAGTAGAATGGCTGTATAAAGTAAAAATAATGTTTTAAAAGGACATGAGTTTTATCACATAGGTAGAAATAAAATACATGACAATAAGAATGCAAAGACTGGAATATGATAATTAGAAATATATTGTCATAAAGTTAGTAAATTTTTCATGAAGTAATAGAATAATTTAAAGATACATATTGTAATCCTTAAAGCAACCACCATCATAATAACAAAGAAACACTACTTCCCCACCAAAAATTTATTGGAGATAAGGTAAAACATATACCTAAGAATACTTTATTACACACAAAAAAGAATTGGAAACAGAGAAACAAAAGATTGGTCAAATATGAATCAAATACCAAGTTGGTGAGCTTAAAACTAAACATGTCAATAATTGAAGTAAAAGGACTAAACACGCTGATTAAATCCAGACTAGATTTTTTTTATAAGTTAGACTAAATTGTATGTCGTTTAAAAGAAACACATTTTAAACTTAAGGAACAAAGGGATTGGAAGTAAAATAATGGAAACATCAAGCAAAAAATTAAGCTGGTGAGGCAATATGAATATCAAAATAAAGTAGATTTCAAGCTGAATAGTGCTAGCAGAGATTTTAATGGGGCATTTCATAATGATAAAAGAATCACTTATTCAAGAAGACATAAGACTACTGAAAGTTTATACCCCCAATACAAAGCTCCCAAGTATGAGACAAAAACTGACAAAACAAAAGAGAACTAGACGCAAATTTACTGTCACCAATATAGATTTTAACACTATTTTCTCAGTAATAGATAAAACAATTAAATAAAAATCAGTACAGTTATGGATGATTTGAACAACACTAACCATCAATGTAAGCTAATTGACATTAATAGAAAATCATTCCACACTAGAGCAAGCTACAACTTCTAAGGTGCACATGAAATACTCAAAAAGATAGACATATCCTGGGCCATAAAAGAAGTTACAATACATTTCAAAGTACCTAAATTAAACAAAGTATTTAAATAATACAATGATGATAAATTAAACTATTAAATTTAATGAAGATGAATAAAAATAATATACATTTGAAAACCCCCCAAAGATTTGGAAGTTAAAAACACACTGCTAAATAATTCATGAGTCTAAGAAATCTCAAAGGATATTCCAATATATATTTTGAACAGAAATACATGAAAACACAACATATCAATATTTGTGGTATGCAACTAAAGCAATCTTTAGAAGGCAATTTATACATTTTAATACCTATATGAGAAAACAAGGCATAAAGTCAAGCATTTCTACTTCCATTTTAAGAAACTAGAAAAATAATAAATTAAGTCCTAAGTATGTAGCACAAGGATATAATAAAAAGAACAGAAATCAATAAAATAAAAAAAGTGAAATAGCCTTGTATAAAGAAATCAAATTTGTAATTGAATAGCAACAACAACAACAAAAAAAAAAAACACTCCCGGACTAGATAGTTTCACTAGTGAGTTATAACTTATGAATAAAAAATAATACTACTCTGACACAAACTCTCATAAAATAGCAGACGTGGGAACAATTTTCAGCCCATTTCATGAAGGGCAGGCATGGAAAATACAAGAAAAGAAAATTACAGCCAGCATATCTCAAGAAAATAGATACAAAAATGCTCTACAAAATATTAGCAAATGAAATCCAGCAATATATTAAAAAGTTAATATACCAAGATCAAGTTTGACTTTTCCCAGGAATGCAAGGTTAGCACTGTCAACAAAATAGACCGAGAAAAATATTGCAACACATATATCTGACAACAGATTTGTACCCAAAATATATTAAACATTCCTGCAGGTGGAGAATTTAAAAACCACCACCAACAATAATTTTTGCCTTAAGATTCAGTAATCCTGCTGCTAGTTATTTATTCAAGAGAAATCAAAACATATGTGTACACAAAGTCTTTTACAAGGATTTGTACAGCAGCTTTATTCATAAATACCCAATTATAATTTCCAGTCAGTAACTGAAAACAACCCAGATATCCTTCAACAGGAGAATGAATAAATAACCTGCAGTGTATCATTCAATGGAATACTAAGCAATAAAAAGATATAAACTATTGATACATGCAACTACCTGAATTAATTTCAAAAGCTATCATTTTGAGTGAAAGAAACTTGACACAAAAATTACATATTGAATTATTCCACTGATGTGATGTTCTAGAATAGTTAAAACTAATCTGTGGTGACAGACATCTGCCCATATATAGACAGGGTAGTGGTAGGGCAATGCCTGGGAAGGGTAACCAGGGAACTTTCTGGGATGATAGAGTTGTTCTATGTGTCTTGATATGCACTCAACACTAATTAAAGGCTACTGAGTTAGTCCATTTGCATTGCTCTAAAGGAATACCTAAGGCTGGATAATTTATAAGGAAAAAAAGTTTATTCTGACTCATGGTTCTCCAGGCTGTATGAGAAGCATGGTGCCGGCATCTGCTTCCAGTAAGGCCTCAGGGAGCTTTTTACTCATGGCAGAATGCATAGTGGCAGCAGGTGTGTCATGTGGCGAGACGGGGAGCAAGAGAGAGAACGAAGAGGTTCCAGACTCTTAAACAAACCCAGACTCTTAAACAAGCAGATCTCATGTGAACTAACTGAGTGAGAACTCCCTCATCACCAAGGGTATGGCCCTAAGCCATTCATAAGGGATCCACCCCCATGATGCAAACACTTCCTACCAACCCATACCTCCAACATTGAGGATTACACCTCAACATGAGATTCGTAGAGGACAAACATCCAAACCATATCAGGTACCCTTAAGATCTGTGCATGGTCATCCCTCAGTCTCCTCAGGGGATTGGGTCCAGGACCCGCCCTCCCCACAGTATACCAAAATCTGTGGATGCTCAAGTCCCTGATGATATAAAGTGCTGTATCCTATGCACATCCTCACATATAATTTAAATCATCTCTAGATTACTTGTAATACTTAATACAACATAAATGCTGTGTAAAAATGTGTTATACTCTATTTTTATTTTTTTATTATTTTTTATTTCTGCATTATTATTTTGTACTTTTTTTCTGAATATTTTGATTCAAGATTGGCTGAATTTGTGAATGGGGAACCAGCAGATATTGATGGATGACTTCATTTCACTGAATGTCAATTTTAATTGCATTTTTATCAGAGTGAATTACAATGCTTACCCATGTGTTTGAACATTATAGTTCACTGTTTTCAGAAATGGTATAACAGGTTAAGAATATTATAAGAGTCACAGGAAGCATGATAGTGAGAACTGGGTTCAGCAGGCACATCATCATGTAGGACCAGCAAGAAGAACAGGGTGGTGATGGAATTCAACCTTCAGAAGAAATTACCAGGGCAGAGAGATCTGAGAGAGAAGTAACTCAATCATTTCTTATAATCCCTCCGATTCCAAACCTCCCTAAAATGATTAAATACATTTTAATGGCAGGGCAGAATATTAGGGATAATGTGCTTTCAGTAGCTCCATTTCCCTCACCCCTCAAATTTCCCTCAATCGCTTGCCAAAACCTAAGTTTCTATAAAATAATGGGAAATAATTATCTTACTTTGCAACTCAAAATAAAAGAGCTTACAATATAAATGCATGGTTAAGATAATACTTTAAGATAAATGAATTTTATTCCTAATCAGTGTATGAATGCAAATAAGCACTGATCTTTCCTGTTACTGGTAATGTAGAAAGAAGAGAAAGAAGCAACAGTCCAATTTAGCACACATTTACTGAGAGTGTAACATGTACTAAATCAGTGGTTTTCAAGCTTTTGTGACTGTGACCTTTACTAAGAATTGCAATTTATATTGCAGCCCTGCATGTACGTACATATGTATAACTAAAGCTGTGTTATAAAATAAAACATGTACTTGCTAAATAAGATGGAGTCTGGTACTTACTAGACTAGTATAGTCTGTTTCATGTTTACAGAAATGCAAGTCATGATGCATTAATTTCACCACCCGCTAAAAGGTTGTGAACTGTGGTTTGAAAAACACAGTGCTATTCTTTCTACTCAAAATGTGGTCTGTGGACCAACAGCAGCAGCATCTGGGGACTTGTAAGAAATGCAGAACCTGAGACCATACCTCGCACCTAATGAATCAGAATCTGCATTTTAACTAAACCTCTAGGTGCTTCCTGTGCACTTTAAAGCATCAGAAGCCCTGTGCTAGACGATGCCTGAGGAGGATGCTCTGGACAGATGAAGTCTTCTTGGTATTGCTTAAGGCAGAGACTCTTCCTCGGAGATAGTCTGTATTCAGAATAGGCATATTGAAGCCCCAAACTAAGTCCAATTCAGTATCTCCAAGGATATCTCAGGGCATTTTTATTAAAAAAAAAAAAATATGATCCACGAAAGCCTCTGAATCAGACCCTATTTAAGAACCACTGGTATAAAAAGTTAAATGAAAGTTGTGCACCGATTAAGTCATTTGTTTGTTTACTGTTATACAAAGGTGCAAACCAATGCTTCCAGTAATATGGAAATACTTTATTTTATATTTCTTTGTGGGTGACTTCATAGAAAGGCACTTTATTCACACAATACTTATTGATGGGGGTATTCCTACTGCTTCTTTTGAATTTACTTCTCCTTATCAGAGAATTTCCAAACATCTCCATTTTACCAATAATTGCCCTTTTATAGAAATGTAATATGACTTCTGGTAGAAATATTATTATTAGTCCTGCTGAGATAGCAAAATTTATCCCTGGATGACCTCCAGTCAATCCCTTACCAAAGATCTCAACTGCTGAAGAAAATGGGGCTGTCTCTAAGTGGCCATCACTGTTCATTAAGGTCCTTGCCATTGTGTTCTTATCTTTCCTGAGTAATGGGAAGCTTTAGTCTGGAAGTTGCTAATCTTGCTAACACTAAAAGGCTTTCTCCCATTAGCAGCTTCTGTGTTGCATTAATAATCAGAAAGTAATAAAGAGACCGACCTCAGCTGTTCGGTCTCCCCTGAGATGAGGCCCCAGCTTCCCTCTTATCCCCATGGTCCACTCTAATGGTCTTGCCTATATTAAAGTAATAGAGTGAATAATAAGATAAGTGCTGTCTATTTTATCAGAGTCTAAAATTCCTTCTTCTTTTTGGGGAGGACACCTTTTTTTTTTTTTAAGACATCCAAATTGAAAACTATACCATCAATACTTTTGCAATTGAAATTGACCTGTTTAATTCATATTGTTTTAAAAATGTAAGCGTTGACTATCAAGCACAGGAAAAAAATGTTTTAGAAAAAATAAATCCCTCCACCTTTCTTGGAAGAGTTATAAAACAGATAACTCTCCTAGGGATGTCTTCTTGTCCTTTTTTGAGTAAATCAAATTACTCATCTGAACAGCAGTAAACTAAAGAAAACTAAAGATCTTTGATTTTATAAGTATGAAAAACTTGTCAATAAACAAAAAAGAAATGAAGAGAAAATAACATATTAAAACTAAATAAGTAAGATTGGATTTGACAGGTTCAAGGTGCATGTTAATAAGTTGTCTTTGTTGTTTAAAATGTTCATAAAGACAGGAACTAATGCTGGGATTAATTGCTTATGTTCTTTTTCTGTTGAAAATGTTCTTTTGCAGAAGTGCACTTCTTAAAGGTTCCCTTGATTTAAACATCTGTTTTTAAATGTATATGATCTGTGTATGGAATTATATTATCTATGCGGTAGTTAGTTGATTGTAATTTTTCATTTTAAAATAAAACTACTTTTTCTTTCAACTATATATTTTTAACTGGGAAAACAGGTAATTCACCTTGAAAGTGTTGCTCATTCCTTGTACTCAAATACTAGAAATTTTTTCTCAATTTACACTGTTGTATCCTGATTTTGAAAGACTAACTTTATAATTAGGTGATATATTGCCTATTTTTGCACTTGTAATTTAGAGGAAAAAAGGACCAATATCAATCATCATTATCAGTGACTAAACAGTGACTCAATGTATTTTTTTAAAATAAAATATATGTTCATAACCCTCTAACAATGAATCACTGTGATTAGCTCTATGCAATACTTATGTAAGATTCAGTAAATGACAGTAAAAAACAACTAAAAACTATTTTCTAAAAACTTATAATCAACATACTTTTTCTTATAAGTACTTAACAGTTTGAGGGGAAAAATGGGGGCATTATCTAATAAATCAGGGATGCTCATCTAAATTTTTAAAAATTATACATGAAAACTTTCTTTGAACGAAAAAGTCCATAATCTGGAAATAAGAAAATGCTAAATATGTTTCAGTAAAATAGACAGTAGATCTCTCCCTCAGAGAGGTGAAAATTTAACTCCCTTTTAACTAAATAACTCTTTCATATGGTCTATTAGGCAAATAATTTTGATGAATCCAATAAACTCACATGCTTTTTGTTTTATTTAGCATGCAAAATGCAAACGTGTTCACCACATACCAATGGGAAACATATTATTGTTAGAGTTGTCTTTAAATTGGAGGAAAAAAAAGAGTTGCTTTTGACATTCTTATGAAGCTTCAATAGCAGACAGGTCCATTGGGAAAGTAGCAGCTTTAATTAAAGAATTGTCCTGGAGTTGTAGATATAATGCACAATTACCTGAATTCCTTTTACTGTTTTTCTGTCCTACAGTCCATGAAGGCTCTGGAGAAACTAGTCAAAAGGAGACATCCACCTGTGATATTTGCCAGTTTGGTGCAGAATGTGACGAAGATGCCGAGGATGTCTGGTAATATGCTGTTTTTATTCTTTTAGACAAAATAATGACAGTGATTAATTTCTTTTTAACACCATCAACCATTCTGCAACAGAAGACATTGTCTGCATTTTTATTTTCTTATTCAGTTCCCAAGTGAAAAAAAAAATGAGGGCAAGGAATTTCTGGAACTGGATTAAGAGGTGGGCCAGCCAAGCAGCTATCCATGGCATTACTTGATAAGGCACACTAAAATATCATTGAAGCCCCCCAAAACTGTCAATGTTAGGATATAGAGGGAAAAAAAAGTCTTATTTACTAGAATATCTTTGAAAAAGTATCATCAGAGCCAGGTGTGATGGCTCAGGCCTGTACTCCCAGCAGGCCTGTACTCCCAGCACTTTGGGAGGCCAAGGCAGGAGGATCGCTTGAGGCCAGATGTTTGAGATCAGCCTGGGCACAAAGTGAGACCCACATCTCCATAAAAAAAAATAATAATAATTAGCTGGGTATGGTCACACTAGCCTGTAGTCCCAGGTACTCAGGAGGCTGAGGAGGGAGGAACACTTGAGCACAGGAGGTTAAGGCTACAGTGATCTGTGATCATGCCATTGCATTCCAGCCTGGGCCACAGAGTGAGACTTTATCTCAAGATTTTTAAAAGGCATCATCAGGCAGCAATAGATGATCAGACTTAGTCTGTTTGGGTTTCTATAACAAAATACCATAAACTGGGTAGCTTATAAACAAAAGAAATTTATTCCTCACCATTATGAAGGCTGAGAAGTCCAAGATCAAGGCAGATTTAGTGTCTGATAAGAGCTCACTTTCTCTTAAAATAGCCTTCTTCTTACTGAAGCTTCACATGGCAAAAAGGGCAAGGGAGGTCTGTGGAGCCTGTTTTATAAGGGCACTAATCCCATTCATGAAGGCTTCACCCCCATAACCTAATCGCCTCCCAAAGGTCCTACCTCCCAATACTATCATCTTGGGGGTTAGGATTTCACCATATGAATCTGGGGAGGGGGACAGCAACATTCAGATCATACCAGTTGCTAATCTGACTTCTAAGATGATGGAGTAACTACTCTTTTAAAGATATGTTCATCAGATAATGAATAATACTTATTATTTTGAATGGGTGCCAACATTTTAGCTTTCTACTGTATTCGTCCCACCTTAAGCACATTGAAAAGTGAATAACTCAAACTTCTGAGGGAGTTCTTTGTGTCATGATAATGAAAAGCAGCAGCCTTTTTTTATTCCTCTCCTATTCTCTCTTCTGCTCCTCCCCTCCTCCTCTTCCTCTTCTTCCTCTTCCACTTCCTCTTCTTCTCCTCCTCCTCCTTTCCCTCCCTGTCTTTCCCCTTCTCCTCTTCTTTTCCTTCTCCTTTGTCTTCATCTTCTTCCTATTATTATTATTGCTATTATTTCTCTCTTTTTCTTTTTTACATATACCTCACCCCTTTCAGGAAAACATCTGGCTGCTCTTTATTTTCTGCAGTATGTAGACTGTGCTTGCCTAGAGCAGTTAACCATCATTTTGATCAAACTTTTGTGAGTAGAGGGGAAAATTCATCTAAGGAAAATGAAGAAAAAAAATTAAGACAAGATTATGTGGCAGTAGTAAAACAGTCTGCACTTAAAATATTTTTTAAGTGAAGATTCTATCTGAGCAAATGGTGGTTCTTAGGGTAAACTACGTACTTACAAGTAAACACTGCCTTTGAATAGCCAAGTGAAATAAACATCTATTACTAAAATCAGACAGCAGTAGAGTTTTCATGCCTGTCAAACACTTCTAGCCAATGGGCAGCTAGGAGCCGAGTGAGAGAGTCTATGCACTGGTTTGACCATCTTGAGGTAAACAAATGTATGTTTTTTGTTTTTTATTGAGACAGAGTCTCGCTTCTTTTTTTTTTTTTTTTTTTTTTTTTGAGATGGAGTCTCACTCTGTCGCCCAGGCTAGAGTGCAGTGGCACGATCTCAACTCACTGCAACCTCCGCCTCCCGGGTTCAAGAGATTCTTCTGTCTCAGCCTCCTGAGTAGCTGGGATTACAGGTGCGCACCACCATGCCCGGCTAATTTTTGTATTTTTAGTAGAGATGGGGTTTCATCATATTGGCCAGGCTGGTCTCAAACTCCTCACCTCAGGTGATTTGCCCGCCTCGGCCTCCCAAAGTGCTGGAATTACAGGTGTGAGCTACCACGCCCAGCCAACAAATGTATGGTTTTTAAAAAACATCCTAGGGACCTTAATGGCTGATGAATTTGTGGTTCCCAAAACTGAGAGATTGCCAGAAGTACTTTGAGAATTTTTTTAAACATACCAGTTATTTAGTTCTGCCCCAAAATTAATGAATCAGAATTTCAGAGAAGTGGGACTCAAAATTTTACTTTTCTACAAGACCCCCAGGGGATTATGGAAATACTACTCTAAAATAAATGACTAATTCAAAGACTCTTTCTCCTTCCTAAATGCTTTAGGGCTCTTCTGTAGTCATAAGATCAAGACACACAAATAGGAAATGTATCCTTAAAATATTTCGTTTCTAACGTTTATTGGTGACTGCATCTGTATTTCAGCATCATTTTTTCAAGCTGTTTTCTTATAAATTGTTTCACTTTTTAAAAAATGTACATGAGTCTCTTTTTTTTAAGAATTTTAATTTTCCTAGTTCCTTATCTTTTTAATGATTATTCTTTAAGTGGTATAGCTCCATTCTCCAAGACATTTAAGACATGAGCTTTTAAGAGCAGCTGAAAATTATTGGTTGTTTACTATGGGTTTTATCCATTTGTATACTGTTTTTTTTTCTCAGCTATCTTCAAAATAGCCATAGGAGGTAGATTCCATTATTATTTTACTCTAAAAAGAGAAAACTGAGTTTTAAAGTGTTAAAGTGGCAGGACCAAGATGAAGATACGAGGTGAAAGTAACTAAAGGTTGTTAGCATAACAATTCAACCAAAGATGCAATTGAAACAATATGTCTTTGCTGTCATGTCTAGACAATGAGATGGCCAGATTGCAGGCAGCATATTTGCAGTGACTCTCCAAGGCCTGCAAGGTTAGAGCTGGTCTAGGTAGATGTTTGCAGCTGGAAGTGGGAAAACATCCAGGCAAGCAGGGGGTTAATCCTGGTATTCTTGCAAAAGTTCAGATCCATGGTATGAAGGCAGTATGAAAAGATATGGGCAAGGATAGTGGCACCAGAAAGGCTTAGCAATTGTCTACAGGGCCCAGCCATGGCAACTGTACTTCAGAAAATAAATTCAGTTACAAATGAGACAAGGAGAAGGACAAAGGAGAACCTTAGTCATGGAGAAATTGGTGTCAATCAGAAAAACTCGTCAAGAACTGAAACAGGAAAGCCTGGATAGATATTGCAACTGGTATACAAAGCCAAGCCTTGGTTACAAGTTGCTGGGAGAAGCATAGCCTACATCTGAGAAATAAATTACAAGATCAGAATGAAACCAGCAGCAAAGCTGAGTGCTAAATCAGTTAGCTCTTGGCTATGATATCTTGTATGCCCCCAGCATAGGGACAAGATTAGCTCCAAGATGCAGAATAAGCCTGAACCTCCAGATGGGGGCTAAGTGGCCACGGCTGTGAAGATTAGAGGGCTGTAGGGGCAGGGAGCCAAGAAGATCATTAGACTTCCAAGACAAGAACAAAAGTTATTAGTGTTTAAATAAAATGTATTTAAAATGTTGAATGTAAGCAATAAGGAATTGTGCTGAAATGACAAGTGCATTGATTTTCATTTACATACCTTGTATGTTAACGTACCTTTGTATGTTAACATATTGTATTTAGTCATGGCCATGAAGGGCAGATTGGAAACAGCTGAAGGACACAGGAATAAAGCAATGAGTGAAATTAAATAGGCATAGAATGAAAGAGGCTGTAAAGTAAGATAGGAAGCAATAGCGGAGTGATCTGACTATAGTACTAGGCAACAGAACCTTCACTAAATCAAGGGAGCGTTGATACGCTATTGATTTTGGATGACACCACGGCCAGGTTCTCTCAAACATAAAATACTACATATGATAAGTGGCAACAAAGAGTACAACTTATTGTTTTATTTTGCCTTTAACACTAACTAAACTATAATTTTATGTGTACAGATTTCCTCAATCCTGCATTATGAAATAATAACAAGATGTGAATAACTGCTGACGTGAAATAATGTTCTTACTATATCCACAATACTGAAACTAAGGTGAAAAATTAATTCCTGATCTTTCTTTAACCCTGGCCTAATAAGTTAATATTTTGCATTTTCCCACTGGGTTAAATCTAGTTATTCAAACATTCTTAAGTACTTTCAAGATGAAGATAAATCTTTATTAGAATAAAAAAGTCAGTACACAGTTAGCTGATCATGTTTTCATAGTTAGATGAGTTTTTGAGTTCAGAAGAAAGTCACACTGGAGATGGGAATAAAAAAATTAATAAATAGGGGAAAGAGAAGGAGAATAAAAGAAGAAGAGAAAAAATAATAATTAGATGGCATTGACAAACTATGATACTAATGACATAACATTTTAATGCTTTTATTTTGAGAAAACAGATGGCTTGTAATCTAATCTAAGACCGTAGTTTATGTTCTATGATTTCATTTCAAGGTTTTTCTCTTGCATTTTCCTTACATGGAGAACATCAAGGCTGTAAAAAATCAGAAAATTTTAGGTTCTCTCAATAGGAAAGGAAGACCATTGCTACAAAATACTTTTTCAGTTATAGATATTAACTTAAATGTAGGAAAGGATTAAGCTTCCAAAAGAGGGTTAAAATTCAACAGGACAAGTTATTCACACGCCAGTACATCCATTCTCATAATAGAGGTATCTTTCATTAAGGATGGACTTCGAAAGTAACTGAAACACCTGTGTGAAGGGATGTGTGTGCCTGTTTATGGGGAAGGGGTTAAGAGAAGAAGAAAGGGATTAAAATATCATTTCTCTTTATATCCAGACTGAAAACAGTCAAAACTAATACATTTATACATAAAAGGGATTCTCAAATACACCCTGCCAAATATAATTTATAAAGAAGAAGAATGGCTTATAAATAAGTCAAATATAATAAAATTGACTCATTGCAAAGTAATAAAGCTCCATCTGATAGCATTGGGAATACCAACTTATGATTTCAGCAAATATTTCTGATTTCACTTTAGAAACAGCCTTATATTCCCTTAATTATCTTACCTGATAAATTATCTCAGTAAGTCCAAAGTAGGTCAGTGGAAACTCTTTTCTCTGGGAACTATTCCTTAGAAGTAATTAGCCTGGAACTTTCTGTTGGTTCTGTCAGTCAGAAGTAGTTCAGAGCCCGGGGGTTGATACTTGATTTAATATACATATACATACAAAAGCACTGATAGCTGGGTCTGACCATAGGAATGGCTGGGTATGAAATTGGCTGCATGCCTAATATTTCCAGGAACAGAGCACAGGTGCACAGGTTTAAGAGCAGATGCAGCCAGATGACAAATGACATAAAGGGACAACTTAAATTATTAGGTATATTTGCTTTATATGTATTCTTCATAGCTCTTTATCCCTGTTTTAACTTTGCTTTTGTAGTATTCTCTACATGCCACTCAGGCTCCATTAGCGATATCATATTGGCATAAATGCTATTAACTCCTTAGTAGTCATTTTGTCTTTGAAAGCATTAATAATATTTTCCAGTTTTAGTGTATAACATCCTTAGTGTTTGAGTGCAATGGTAAGAAAGGAAAGAAGCAAAGTTGTTGCAAAAAAATGAGTTCCAAAGAGGAATGAATGAATGTTTATTATTTTCTCTATTTCATTGATGTTTCATAACTGAAACAGGGTGTGGGATCTGGCATTTCTTTTCTGGGTGTCTCTTACAAAGACAGTTTAGTTTGAAGTCTTTAACATCTTGCTCCTTTGATCTGAGAAAGCTCCCTGTCATTAGGAAGATTGTGTGTTATTGGCAACCTGCCCACATTTAATGCATTTTGGATTGTGGAGGCTCATGAATATTTGAAGTGGGGCAATGGCCATGGATGATCCTTGGCACTAGATTTCATCATAGGTATAAGTAAATTAGACATTAGGTCTTGCTGACTTTAGTACCTTTGGTTTGTGAGTTTGATAGGGAAAATTAAGACACCTCTGAGGAAAATACAGAAAGTGGTTTTATTTAAAACCACTCCTGGTTGACAATTGAACAAAAAGATTGTATTTAAAATGGAAACTGCAATCTTTGTATTGTTTTTCTACTAAGTAAAAAGGTCAGACTTGGATATGGTACATTTAAAGAGGATGCTGATTAGTCACAAAATTTTAGCCATCTAAGAGTTCATTCAGTTTCTCCCTAGGGTGTTTCCCTTTTATTAATTTCCTTTGCTTTCTGGCCCCAGAAGTGTAACTGGTAACCAATTTTAGGTGTGGTTTCTAATATAAGTTTACTCATGGAGACAATGAAAAAAAAAAACCCAGAAAAAAGATAATAGATCTGCTCTAGAAAATCCAAGGTTTTTTTTGAATGTGTGCATGGCTTTTTGAGAAAACATTTTAGTTTCAAGATTCCTGGAGTTGAGGTATGACCTCCCTCCATTTACCTCTTATCTCCACCTTGAAGACAGTAGCTGTCACCTCTGAAAGCTGCAGTAGCGTTTTCTGTTTGTGTCAATGAGTGGGAACTGAAGAGTAGATACCTCTCATTCCTTTAATGATTCCATTTGCCCAAAAAATGTTTCGGGGTGGGGAGTGCACATACAGCTCCTGACTTAGGGAAGCACATATCTTTCCACTCAGAATTTCAAGGGGAAAATGTTGATAGTTTTTAGCAAAGGTGTGTCCAAATCTGAAAGTTGGGGTTTGCTTTCATTATTTCTTTCTTTTCTGTATTTCTTCACCTATCTTGATCAAGAAAATAAACAGCTTATATTTTTCTAAATTTCACACGATGTAATAAAATTTAGAAGTAAAAGACTAGGAATTCTGACATGGTCTGTACGATGGTCTATACAGGGCATTAAACAATGCCCAGGGTCAACAAATGCCATATTTGCAATCCAAACTTCTCTCTGCAGTAGCTGCCGGTAATCCAACCTGCAAACTGAAGTTAAAAGCTTCAAATGTTACTCAGGAAGACAAATGAATAACAATGACACTTCTAATATGCAATAGTCAAATAATAACAACCACCAACAACAACTAACCACCCCTCCAGAAAAAGGAGGGTTATGAAAGTAAAAAATAAAAAAAATTGAAAAATAAAAATAAACAATAGTCTTTAAAACCTTGAGTCTTCTGTGATGCTAGCCTACCTTTTTTATTTAAAAAAATGGGTTTTCACATAAATTCTAGAGAATCTTTTAAATTCTTCTCTGTATCCATACCTCAACTGTACTAGCTATCACAGTGATTAATGAAACTTAATTAGGTTATGACAGCTACAAACCCAGATCTGGTGTAGAATACCAAGAAATATGGGGATAAAGAATTCTGAACTTCAATGTGTTTTATTTGTTTTTACAATATTTATTAGGCCATGCAGTTTAAATCATGTAATTTCTATTTTATATCAAAATCATAAAATACTGCATGGCAACAGAACAAAGGAAACAAAACTCCTAAGTACAGATTGTATTTCTACCACTAACTTAACAGTTTTCATTACTTGTTTCTCTTTTTACTTGCTTTTTTTGTTTGTTTGTTTGAGATGGAGTCTCACCCTGTGGCCCAGGCTGGAGTGCAGTGGCGCTATCTCAGCTCACTGCAAGCTCCGCCTTCCAGGTTCACACCATTCCCCTGCCTCAGCCTCCCGGGTAGCTGGGACTACAGGCGGTCGCCACCACGCCCGGCTAATTTTTTGTATTTTTAGTAGAGATGGGGTTTCATCGTGTTAGCCAGGATGGTCTCAATCTCCTGACCTTGTGATCCTCCCGCCTCAGCCTCCCAAAGTGCTGGGATTACAGGTATAAGCCATCGCACCTGGCCTTTACTTGCTTTTTAAATCTTTGCTTGCTTTTGAAATCTTGTTGCAGGCCACACCCTGTTAATGGTAGGTTGCCTAACTTTTGGTGCTCACTCATTAAACTCACTCTCTATTTCTTCTTGAGTTTTCATGTCTCAGTTTCTAGCATATTCTGAGTCAGCGATTCCTGTCTCCACACTCAGGGAATACCTGCTCCATGTTCCGATGTCCCAGTGTAACATCCCAGTCTCAAAGATAATAATAGGAATCTCATTGTAGTTATCAAAGTGTGACAAACCTTTCCAAAGCGTGTCAGACACCATCCTAAATGTCTAGATTTATAGAGCCATTTAATCCTCACCACAGTCTTATGAATGTAATACACTAGTAATTCTCATGTTACAAAACAGAAAACTGAGGCACAGACAGGTTAATCAAACTTCCCAAACCCAAACAGCAAGTGAGAGAGCCACAATTTGTGCCAGCCAGGCAGACTCCATGCTCTTAACTACCACTCAGGGTCTTCTCTTATAAATTATGTGTGTATATAAGTGTATATTGTGAGTATGCACACACACACACACACACATAGACCAAATGTATCTATCTTATATATTCAGGATAGAATTTTACATGTTTTAATGGGAAAACAAAGACTTTAAGTGGCAGTTTGGGATGAAATTCACCACTAACACACCTACATTGTGTATGATGCCCTTGAAGTTCTTTTTCACTCAGTATATAAAATATATTTCTTTGTAGTCCCCTTCAAGACTGTGTAGTTTTCATTTGTTTGTTTTTCACAGAGGTATTGAATTATTCTTATCATGGTTATGCATGCATCCAATCAGATGAGAATGTTACTAGACTTAAGGTTGCATAGAAGAGACATACCTTCACCAAAACCTGAGGTTTTTTTAGCTGCTTCAATTCAATTTGCCTGTTTTGCAGTGGCAGTGGCAACCCTGACTGTGAGCCAAAGCTTATTACAAATGTCTATTTCTGCTGTAAGAATAGAAATTCCTGGAGATGAGAAATAGAAAAAGAGGGAAGAGTCACCAAATTAAATAAAAATAAATATGACAGTGGATTTTAATCTGTATCTTAGTAGATTAAATGCCCTGCTGTATCTTTTAATTTAGCACTTAAAATATGATGTGAAGCCTCTTATGTTCCAATATAACATATATTTTTGATGGTTATATTAAAATGGGTTTTACATTTTTTCTAAATATAAATACACACATTCCATCATAGTGATTTAAAAAAAAATAGAAATACAAAAACTTTAGGAAAATGTCATCCCTCTCTAAGATAACCATTGTGAAATTTGGAGATATATTTTCTGTGTGTGTGTGTGTGTGTGTGTGTGTGTGTGTGTTTTATGAGAATCTAATAATATTTTACATATTAACAAAACCACTTATCTTGAAAATTTTTAGTTAATCTTGAGGGTGAGTTATTTGGTGATTGTTAGGAATGCCAAACCAATTTAAGAATAATGTATTTATACTGGAATGCAATTTCTGTGTCCCAAGCTCTGATTATTCTTTCTAAATTTTCAGCACTTCTAAAAAAAAAAAATTCGTTTGAGCGTACTGTCCTAACATTTGTGATCTAAAAAATTATCAAAGCCTATATCCCCTCTAAGCCTGTGTTAAACATTTTTCTTGTTTAACTCCAAGAGATTAGACAGTATGTTAACTGAAAACATTTCCACTGTCTGTATCCAGAGTGTTCATAATAAATAGCTTTCTGAGGCATAAGCATTGTTAGATGAGAAACTGTCCTCCCAAAGGTGTATTAAATCGGGTAGAAACTGTTGCTGGTCTTCTGTGGTTTACTTCCAAATAGTAATATATTGTATGTGTTGACTCATCTAAACTACAAATCAGTGAACCATCCTCAGCAGCCAACATCAGTCTGTTCCAGACACATTTCCCTACAAACAGGGCATATAATATCTAATAAATGATTGAACAAATTGTAAAATTATATGCAACACCCAATCAAAACATCAATACTGCTGAAAGTCTAAATGCTTATTACAGAAAAAAGCCAATAAATAATGAAAACGAATATCTGATTTTCTAGCCCCCCTAATGTAAAGTAAAATTAATCAAGAGTGGGTCCATTCATCCTTTTATCACTAAGCTATGAATGGAACATAAGAAATCAGGACAATGCATTTGGGACAGATGATCTTCTGAAGATTGTTTACCACAGCTCTCTTTTATTTATTGCAGCCTTTCAAAGTCTTTGACACAGTAGTTCACTGTATTCTCTGAGCTCATCCTGAAATGAGCTTTCTACAATCAAAATTATATTATCCATGGTAATAAAAGTAATGGTAGGTTCTAACAAGCCATAAGGGCTTATAATAAGCAGATATTAGGAGATGTTTATCTGGGAGAAGTGCACAACAGTTTGGAAAAAGGCAAAAATAAGAAATAAAATAAAATATTAGCTTCACATTAGCAAAAATTAGTGATGTATTTCTGTAATAAACATAGGTATCTGCAGGCCGGGCACAGTGGCTCATGCCTGTAATCCAAGCACTTTGGGAAGCTGAGGCAGGCAGATTGCCCAAGCTCAGGAGTTTGTGACCAACCTGGGCAACACGGTGAAACCTTGTCTCAACTAAAATACAAAAAATTAGCTAGGCATGGCAGCATGTGCCTGTAGTCCCAGCTACTTGGGAGGCTAAAGCAGGAGAATTGCCTGAACCTGGGAGGCAGAGGCTGCAGTGAGCCAAGATCACGCCACTGCACTCCAGCCTGGGTGACAGAGCAAGACTCCATCTAAAAAAATAAAAATTAAAAAAAAAAAAACAGGTAACACAGGTATCTGCATAAATTTGGAACTTAGGATATTCAAATATAACATCAAATTATCAATAATGATGAAAAATAAAAATGATATATTTGATTACAGTATGCAACTTAACTTTCAATTAAAATTGTCTTCCCCAGAAAGTATGTTGATTTTTGGAAAAAGAAAACACAACAGAACTGCTTGCATTACAGCTACACTGGGTGGTCAGACTTGGGGGGAAGAAAGAAAAGAAAAAGAAGCCCTGCACTGATCAATATATTGGTATATTAATCAGGGTTATTCAGAGAAACAAAGGAATAGGAAGCAAAAAATTTTCTAGTGAATCACTAGAGATAATAGTGGAAGGTGACAGTTCCATTTCCACCCCTTGATTTCTGGACCAATGAATTTTGGCTATGGGAGACAGAGCACCACATATTAAATGCTGATTCAGAGCACATACAGCCTTCTGGAGAACCTTGCACCAGTCCTAGAAAGCAGTGTCACCTACCTGGTGTTACAACTGTGATTTCTTTCTCTTTTTTCTTTTTTCTTTTTTTTCTTTGAGACAGTGTCTCGCTCCGTCACCCAGGCTGAAGTGCAGCGGCATGATCTTGATTCACTGCAACCTCCACCTCCTGGGTTCAAGCAATTCTCCTGTCTCAGCCTCCCAAGTAGCTGGGACTACAGGTGCATGCCACATGCCCAGCTAATTTTTGTATTTTTAGTAGAGACAGGGTTTCACCATATTAGTCAGGTTGGTCTCGAACTCCTGACCTCAGGTGATCCACCCACCTCAGCCTCCCAAAGTGCTGGAATTACAACTGTGATTTCAAAAAACCATTCCACCACTCTATCAAGCCAGCAGCTATAGGATGGCAGGAAACATGGTAAGACCAGGGAATTCCATGAGCATATACCCATTGCCATGCTTCTTTGGCAGTGAAGTAAGTTCCTTAGTCAGAAGCAATGCTGTGTGGAATACCAAGATGGTGGATAAAGCATTCCGTAAGTCCATGGATGGTAGTTTTGGGAGAAGCATTGTGTGCAGGAAGAAAAATGTATATCCAGTGTAAATATCTATTTCAGTGAGGACAAACTGCTGTCTCTTCCATGATGGAAGCAGTCCAATATAATCAACCTGCCACCCAGGAGCTGGCTGGCCACCATGAGGATTGGTGCCATATTAGGGACTCGGTGTTGGTTTCTGCTTCTAGCAGATTAAGAACTCAGTGGTGGCTGTAGCCAGGTTGGTCTTGGTGAGTAGGAGTCTATGTCGCTGAGCCTATGCATAACCCCCCTTTTTTGCCACAATGGCCACTTTGTTCATGAGCCCATTGGGCAATGAACAGGGTTGGCTGGAGAAAGAAGCTGAGTGGTAGCTACAGAATGGGCTATTCTATCCACTTTATTATTACAGTCTTCCTCTGCTGAGGTTATCCTTTTGTAAATATTTACATGGGACACAAATATCTTCATGGTTTTTTGCCCATTGAGAGAGATCTATCCACATACTTCTTCCCCAAATTTCCTTCTCACCAATATTCCAGTCATGTTCCTTTCAAGTCCTTGACCATCTACCAAACCATTGGCCACAGTCCATGAATCAGTGTACAGTCACATGTCCTACCTTTTCTCCCAAGCAAAGTGAACAATCAGGTGCACTGCTTGAAGTTCTGCCTACTGGAAGGATTTTTCTTCACCATTGTCCTTGAGGAATGTTTCAGAGAAGGTCTGCAGTTCTGCAGCTGCCCACTTTCAGGTGGTAGCTGTATATCATGCAGAATCTTCTGTAAATCAGGCCTGAGTCTTTTTTCCTCTATCAACTGATCACAAGGAGCTCCCCTGTGAGGCCACAGAAGCAGGCGGGAGAGAGAAGGTCCTGTAATAGGAGTGGGTGCCATGACAATTAGGCCCCTTCTTTTCATGTAACTTACTTGTGCCAAGAGCCTGATTTGACCTAATCTCATACAAAGTACTTCCATTTGATGATGGAGTGCTGCTGTGCATGCCCAACTTCATGGCTTTGCGAGTAAGACAACACTCAGTTCATGGTGGGAAGCTCAGGTCAAATAGTAACTTAGTAGTGCATAGTTAAGTATTAAGTCTCTACTAAGGCCCAGTAGCAAACTAAGAACTGTTTCTCAAAAGGAGAGTAGTTATCCACAGAAGATATCAGGGCTTTGTTCCAAAATCCTAAGGATCCGCACTGTGATTCACCAATAGGGGGCCCATCAAAGGCTCCAGACAGCATCCCTGTCTACCACTGACACTTCAAGCACCATTGGATCTACCGGATCATAAGGCCCAAGTGACAGAGCAGCTTGCACAGCAGCCTAGACTTGTTGCAGAGTCTCTTCTTGTTCTGGGCCTCACTGAAAACTAGTGAAAAGCAGTTTACTCAGTAAATGGACTAGAGTAACACACTCAAATAAGGAGTATGTTGCCTCCAGAATCCAAAGAGGCCCACTAGGCATTGTTCCTCTTTTATGGTTGAAGGTGAGGCAAATACATCAACTTATCCTTTACCTTAGAAGTAATATCTCACATGCTCCACATACTGACCCCTAGAAATTTCACTGAATTTTCTTGAAAATTCATTCTCTGACATGCAAATGTCTTACCAATAACTATAGAGTAGTTGCTACTTCTTGCTCACTACGTCAAATCAGCATCATGTCACCAGTGTAATAGACTAGTGTGATATCTTTTGGAAGGGAAAGGTGATAAAGATTCCTGCAAACTAAATTATGACATAGTGGTAGAGAATTAACATACCCCTGATGCAGCACAGTGAAGCTATATTGCTGACCTTACTAGCTAAAAGCAAACTGATTCTGGTTGTTCTTATTGAGAGGTAAGGAGAAAAAGGCATTTGCTAGATCAATAGCTGCATACTAGGTACCAGGGGATGTATTAACTTGCTCGAGCAATGAAACCACATCCAGTACAGCAGCTGCAATTGGAGTCATCACCTAGTTAAGCTTATAATAATCCACTGTCATTCTCCAAGATTCATCTGACTCCCGCACAGGCAAGTTGAGTGAGAACATAAGAATCACCCCGTCCCTGAGTCTTTCAAGTCCTTGATGGTGCAGTCTTTCCAGGAATGTAGTGTTTCTTTGTGTTTAATATTTTTCAAGGTAAATGCAGTTTTAGCAGCTTCCACTTATCTTTTCCTACCATCGTAGCCTTCATTCCACATGTCATGGAACCAATGCGGGGTTTCCGCCAGCTGCTGAGAATGTCTACTCCAATTATACATTCCAGATCTGAGGAAAGAAACACAGTGTAGGTTCAGGGACCCACTGGATCCACTGTGAGATGGAACTGAGCTAAAGCTTCACTGATCACCTGACCTCCATAAGCCTGTACTCTGACTGTGGACCACAGTGATGTTTTGGGTCTTTTGTAATTAGTGTCAGTTCAGAGCTAGTGTCCATTAGTCCGTGAAAGGTCTGATTCCCAATGCACAGTTATTCTGGCAAACAGCTGAAGGTCCTTTTGAGGAAGGCTCAGAGAAAGATTAACAGTATACATTTTTGGCACTGTACCAGGGCCCTTTCTCAAGGGGACCTGACCTCCCCTTTATGCAAAGGGTTCTGTGTCCATAAACTGGCTCTAGTCTGAGACTTGATTAAGGGACCATGACTCTCTTTTTTTATGATGTAGGCTAGACTTTTGTTTAAGAACGTTTCTGCTTATCAAATCAAGTAAGATTTAGTAGGCTTTCCATCTATTTTTTCACTTTTAGGAACACCATGATCCTAAAACACTAGCAAGGAACACTAGCCAATACCATAGGTCTCCATGAATCTGGCTATTCTGATTGCTGCTTTTGACCTTGCTTTTGGCAGTCGAGTACTGCCACTTGGCCCCTGCTGCCCTGAGACCCAATTACTCCAATTGCATTTAGATTTCCCAAGTCAGTAACTGCTATTCCCATTTAAGTTCTGGCCTGCAGAGAAGAGTGGTCCTAGAGCTCTTCAAGGATGTTGTGGCTCTCCTCACAATCTGTTTCTAACAATATGGGTAGAAGGTACATCTTCTGGACCCTTTTGGTGTGTGTGAGTAGGTCTTAAATGACAAATTGACTCTAGCATTCCAGTCTCTCTAAGCCTTTGAACCTCTTTCTCTGTGTTAAACTGAGGCATGCCTAGCATTTCTAATTCGCTCACTGTGGACCACCTTTTGCTCCATGTTTCAGTCAACCAAGCAACCAAACTGCCAGAGCTCTTTCAAATTCCCCAAGTTGCAATATTAAATGCAATATTAAATATCTGCCAAGTGAGCTCATATCAATAAATTCAGCCTGATTCATAACTTCATATTCTTTTCACCATTATCCCATACCCTAGTGTCCATTCCTACACATGTTTTTGGGATTTTTGTATAAGTTAGGAACTTAGGTAGTTCTTTTGGAGTGTAGCACACCTCTTCACGGATTTCACTTCCTATCACACTTTTAGGTGCCCGCTGGAACTTGAGTTCAGTACAGGCATACCTCATTTTAGTGTGCTTTGCTTTACTGCACTTCAAAGATAATGTATTTTTCATAAATTAAAAGTGTGTGACAACACCACGTGAAGCAAGCCTACCAGCACATTTTTTCCAACAGCATGTACTCAATTCATGTCTCTATGTCATATTTTGGCAATTCTCACAATATTTCAAACTTTCTCAAATATTTCTGTTATGAAGATCTGTGATCAGTGATTTTTTTTTTTTGAGACAGAGTCTCACTCTACTGCCCAGGCTGGAGTTCAGTGGTGTGATCTCGGCTCACTGCAACCTCCGCCTCCTGAGTTTAAGTGATTATCCTGCCTCAGCCTCCCAAGTAGCTGGGATTACAGGTGCCTGCCACTACGCCCAGTTAATTTTTGTATTTTTAGTAGAGACAGGTTTTCACCATGTTGGTCAGGCTTGTCTTGAAGTCCTGACCTCAGGTGATCCACCTCCCCCAGCCCATGGGATTACAGGCATGAGCCACCGCACCTGGCCGATCAGTGATCTTTAATGTTACTACTGTAATTGTTTTGGGGCACCCAAACCAAACCCATATAAAACAAGTAAACTTAACTGATAAAACGTTATATGTTTTACTGACCCGCTGATCCCCCATCTCTCTCCTTTTCTACGGCTTCCCTAGCATGAAAAGTATTTCCACTGTATGAATATACCATATTTGGGTTATTTGTTCATCAGTTGAGGAACATTTGGGTTGTTTCTACTTTTTGACTACTATGAATAATGCTGTTATGAACATTTATGTACGAGATTGTGTGGGAATGTATGTTTTCAGGTCTCGGGTATATACATAGGAGTGGAATTGCTAGGTCATATGGTAACTTTATGGTTAACTTTTTGAGGAAGGGCCAGACTATTTTCCAAAGTACCTGCAACACTTATATTCCACCAGCAGCGTATGAGTGTCCACACTTCTTCACATCCTTGCCAATGCTTGTAATTATCTGTCTTTTTGATTATTACTATCCTAGTTGGTATGAAGTGGTATCTGATTGTGGTTTTGATTCACATTTCACAGGTCTAATGGTGTTGGTCTCTTTTTATTTGTATATTGAACATTTGTTTATCTTTTTAGAAGAAATATCCATTCAGATCATTTGTCTATTCTTAAATTCAGCGATTTGTCTATTTGTTATTGAGCTGTAAGAGTTTTAAAAATATATATAATCTAAATATAAGTTCCCTGGCAGATATATGGTTTGCAGGTAGTTTCTCTATTTTGTGGAATTGCCTTTCACTCTCTTGACCGTATCCTTTGAAACACAAACTTTTTAATTTTGATGAACTCCAATTTACTTTGTTGTTGCTTGTGTTTGTTGTTATATCTAAGAAGGTTTTGCTCAACCCAAGGGAGCAAATATTTATTCCAATATTTTCTTCTAAGGGATTTATAGTTTTAGCTCTATATTTAGGTCTGTGATCCATTTTGTGGTATTTTTTGCAGATGGAGTGAGGAAGGGGTCCAAATTCATTTGTTACATGTAGATATCCAGTTGTTTCTACACCATTTGTTGAAAAGACTAGCCTTTCATCATCAAATTTTTTGGACACCCTTATTGAAATCAATTGACCCTGTATACAAAGATTTATTTCTCTAGTCTCATTCTATTCCGGTGATCTATGTATCTATTCTTATGCTACAACTGGACTTCATTTTCTCATATGTAAAATTCAGGAAATGAGGGTGTTGCTCTATAAGGTTTCTATGGTTTCTTTGGGCTCTAACATCATCTATCATAGCAGAAGAACTACTGTGAGCTCTAAAGAACTACCCCCAAAGCGTCCCCAGTGGTCCTAGTGGCATTTTTTTCTCTTTCTTTTTGGCCTAAAATTTCCAGAGTGACTTTTAAATTTGAGAAGATAATCTATCATGTCCAGAAGGCAAGACTTCCCACTTTATATTTTAATCCTTATACATTAACAGAAACAAGTTTTTCATATTAGCTAGTCACCTCTTTAGAAAGCACAGAAAATAGGAAGCTCTTCAAAGGATTTGAAGCAGCTATGACAAAAGGTAAACATATAATGAAGATACTTAAATAAGAGAGAAAATTCGAGTTGAATAAAAAGACAATGTTGAGGAGAAGGAAGAATGTAAAAGGCAGGATAGAAATAATAGATTTAAAGGAAAACCAAGGCTAAGAGAAGCTGCTACTATTAATCAAAAGGCTTATCTCTGAGTGCTCTGAATTCAAGGTGAGAAAGAAAAGAAATAACTCTTATGGTGTAGTTAGAAAAGACAACTAGTTCATCAAGAAATACTTTTACCAGTTCTGAATTCTACAAAAATGTATACTGTGTACATTTAATATGATTTTGAATAAAATAAATGACACTATCTTTGATTACTAGCTTATAAATTACATAAAATTATTTATATTGGAACTTAATATAATTTATTACTGATAAACTTGTAAAATTGTAGGTGATTCTTTGTTAAAACTTGAATACTGGTATCCAGGCATATCATTGTTATAGTTATATGAGCCAGTACAGGAGTAAAACATGAGGAATACATGGCCACTGTATTCCTTAGTCTCCTTTCAATTATCAATAATCTCAGCCAGAGATTAGGAAGCATCTCTAAAATATCTAATGTGAATCTTTAAAATTATAATTCACATTCACAGACAGCAAAACTAAGTAGTTATTGAGCAATAAATCACTTGTTCATATGGCAGAATAAGAATGAATGCCTGGTGTCCTGAGATGGTCCTAGGATAGTGTTTCCTGAACCATTCTCCGATTTATTCAAAACTACTTTATGAACAGTTGGGAAATTAGATGACTTGGTTTGTGGCAATGAAGTACCATTTCCCAACATAGTTTATTTTTCTGTAAATATTTTATTTTACTACTAAGAATAAAAGAAATTGCTGTTATATAAGTTGCACAGATTGGAAAACATTGGTCTGATCAAAGTTTTATGATAAATATCCTTGCTTTAATTGTAATTAATTGATTAAAAACACAAATGAGAAGCAAAGAGAAAAATGTACAAAGCAATAGCAACATATCCAATTTTGGGCCTAGCAATTATAATTATGGGTTTAGAACATCCAATCTGACTTTGAGATAAATTTACTTATAAGACTTCCTACTACCAATTCTGTTCTTTCTTTTTTTATTCATAGAATTGATAAATAACCAATAATTTTCTAGTTATATTTGCCTTTTTTTCCTATAAATCCTCACAATAGGACTTGTAGTCCTTCATTAGTATAATCAGGCTGCTGAAAACTTTAACCCAGTTATTCGTCTATTGCCTGTCTTTTCCTCAATTTTTGTTTGCCCTAAACCAAGACACCATTTCAAATTAAAGTCTTCTACTATAATGTTAAGTTAGATGGGGGGGGCGGGAAATATCTTTGCATTAAGGACCAAAAACCACATGGCAATAAAGTAGAGTGCATGAGGGCCATAGGCTTGCATTTTTTTAAATGTAATTTAGTTAAATTCTATTTTTGCTGCCTATAACATTGGCTAGAAGGGTTGATATAGAACAGTGTGGATATTAAAAACTGTAGCTTGCAAAGTTACTTGTCAGGAAGGCTTTCTTTTTAAAAGGAAAACAATACAATGGGTACAACAAGTATCTTAAGTATAGAAAGAGGAGGCTGGGCAGGGTGTCTCACGAGTCTGTAATCCCAGTATCTTGGGAGGCCGAGGCAGGTAGATTGCTCAGTCCAGGAGTTCTAGACCAGCCTGGGCTACATGGTGAAACCCTGTATCTACAAAAACACCTAGCCAGGCATGGTGGTGGACATCTGTAGTCCCAGCTACTCTGGAAGCTGAGGTGGGAGGATCACTTGAGCTGGGGAAGGCAGAGGCTGCAGTGAGCTAAGAACAGAGTGAGACCCCACCTCAAAAAAATAAATAAAAAAAGAAAGAAAAGAGCAGTGTCAGTAGGAGTTGGGATGGTTAGGTTTGAAAGGTTTAAAAAAAAAATTTAAAATAACAACTAAGTATTATTGTTGTAGTGCTTACTTTGTGCACTACACTCTTCTAAGGACTTTGCATTCCTTAACTCATTGAACCTTCAAAAGAGCAGTACAAGTTATGTACTATTAGTATTCCAGTTTTAAAGATGATGAACTTGAGGTACAAAGGTGTTAAATAACTTGTCTAAGTTTACTTAGCTCTTAAAGGTCAAAGCCAAAATTTGAACCCAGAGGTCGTACTCTTACCTGTTCTGTCAACATTCTTTCCAAATGTGCTCTAGAAAACCTGGGGCATAGTGAAGAACTTGTAAGACTCAAAGGACTTTTACATGTGTAAAGAAGGGAAAGAAGTTTCTTGAAGAAACAGAAAGAAATGTATTAATGAACATATATGAAGTCATGTGCACCATCTTATTTAATCTTTCACAACAGAATGGTTAGTCGTGACTTTCCTCCATCTGTACAAAGAAGGAAAGCAAGGTTCAGAGAGGTGGGTAACATGCCGAATATATGTTGGTAGGTTGAGGTGGATCTTGAGTTCAATCTCAAATTTAATTCCAAGGTCCATGTCCTTTTCACTGCAGAATGCTATAGGATAGAAGTCAAGGTAGAATTAAGACAGAAAAACTGTCCTTTCAAAAGAAAGAACAGTTTATGGTTGAGAATGTGTATAGTACTTGAAGAGTTAGAAAAGTGCATGTAGCCAAATGATGGAAGATTTTGTTGCCATGTATGATAGGGTAAGCAATATCAAATGCTATAACAGATAAGTGCCAAATTCTCAGAGGTCTCTCTCTCTCTCTCTCTCTCTCTCTCTTTCTCTCTCTTTCTCTCCTCTCTCTCTTTCTCTCTCACACACGCACAAACACACACACACACACACACACTTGTTACTCTCATCATAGGTCAGAGAAGATGGTGCCAATCAGGCAGCCTAATACAAGGTCCTGCAGGGGCCAAGGGTCTTTCCATATCGTGGACCTGCCTTTCCTTCTAAGGCAGAAGGACCTGCCTTAGAAATTCCTTCTATTTCTAAGGAAATAGAACCTCACTGAGGTTCTATTCATTAATTTAATAGAAAGAAAAAAAACTTAAGTGAGAGGTTTTTTTTTCTGTTTTCTGTTTTTCTTTCTTTCTTTCTTTCTTTCTTTCTTTCTTTCTTTCTTTCTTTCTTTCTTTCTTTCTTTATTTTGGCTAGTCTTAGAAGTGCATTCTGCACTTCTAGCAACATCCCACTGGCCAGAACATTTGCTATATAGTAAAAGTGGCATTAAAGAGAAAGAAGCCAGTAATGAGGCTTGGTAATGGTCCCCAAAAGAGAGATTAGAGTCAGGAAAGCTTTACAGTATGAGGAGATATTTATTTAGTACATACGATAGGTCATGCTCTGTCTGAGCCCTGGGAATACAGCATGTAACACAGATAAGGTCCTTGCCTTTAAACAGCTTACATCCTGAGAAGGGGTGAGATGGAATAGACAATAAAGAAATGAACAAACAAGCAAGCAGACGACATCCTTTCAGATAACAAGTGTTTTAAAAAGAAAACAGAGTTCTGAAAAACAGGATCCTGGGAGAAAGGGATGCTACTTAAGATTGGATATTTAAGGAGTACCTCTCTGAGGATTGACATTTTAGTCAAATAGCGAGAGCCAGCTATGCAAAGATCTGTTGAAACAGTATTCTGAGCAAAGAAAACCTCTGGTCCAAAGGCGCAAGACTGGGGATTAGCCTGGTGTGCTGAAGGAACTGACAGAGGTCAGTGTGTCAGGAGCCCCTAAAATAAGAAAGAAGGTCAAAGTTGAAAAGGGGTTTGATCATGAAGGTGCTAGTAGGCCTTCATGAGGAGGCTCAATTTTATTCTAAGTATACTGAGAATCCTCCAGATGTTTTATTCTGGAGATGTTTATTCCAGATATTTATTCAGGAGTTATATGATTCAATCATCACTCTCACTTCCTCCTGAAGCCTTGCACGACCATTCCAGAATATCATCATCATCCCCTTCTCTTTCCATATCATGGGCCTGCCTTTCCTTAAATCACTGAGGTTCTATTCATTAGTTAAATAGAAACAAAAAGAAAAACATATCTTACATGAGAGTTTTATTGGCTAGTCTTTGAAGTGCATTCTGCTCTTCCAGCAGAATATCCAGTTGGTCAGATATCCCATAGCAATTTCCCTTGCTTCAATCACATTGGTACTTCTGGAAATATGGATATGCAATCTCCTTAACTGGAATGTAACCTCTTGAAGAGCAGACTTATATTTAATTTGTGGCTTCCTCAGTAACAAACACAGTTCCAAGAAAACACTTAGGTCTTGAGTAACTACATGAATAAATGAATGATGAATAAATAAATAAGGAATGAAAAATAGTTGAAGGAATAGAGAGCAGTATCCTCTTGTATTTGGAGTCTACAACGTGCTTTCACTTTTACTGTGTCATTTGATCCACATGAGCACATCGAGTTCATGGGGGAGAGTTTGGTAACTGCACAATTATGAGATGCCAGAGATTAGAAGTCAAACAGAAACGAAGATGTTAAGGCTGAGCACTGAGAAGAATAATGGAACCACTTTGGAAATAGGGGATCAGGAGGTAAAGTCAATTTGGAGTAGGGGAGGGAGGTGGTGAGAGAAAGTTATGTTCTGATTCAGCTGATAAAAGGCAGAACCAAGTAGAATGCCCAGTAGGCAAGTAATTAAAGGTTAAGTTGTGTGATGCAGACAGAAAGAGCTGCAGGAGTTCAGATAAATCTAATAAAGAAAATGGATTTGGGACTGAGGAATGAGAATAGACACTGAAGTCGCAAAAAGTTAGACTGCTGGGTGTAATGACAGAAAATATTTACTGAAAATAACTGGATATTGGGAAAAAGGACAGACTAAGTAATGGGAAATAGATATCAGGATATATTAATTAAGATAAGACATCAGAAATAAACCATAGAAGAAAAAACTGAGGAGCTGCCATCTTCCATTTGTTTAATTAAAAAATGAAATTACTGCCCTACTCACAGTGCTACTCACTGAATATTTCCAATTTCCTACCTCCAAAACAGTGGACATAGGACTGTGTTATGGGATGCTGCTTCCTGGCTACTTTGCAGTTGAGGACACTGATGTGTCTGGTTCTAGACTGTGACCTGTGGCTGAATGTTTGATTGCCAATACAAAACTCTGCAAACTTTCCTCTTTCTGACTTCATAATTAGCAGTGTTCAAGTAGGTGACTGCTTTGTCATCCAGGATCCCTGGGTGATATAGAGCATAAACAAACAAACAAAAAAAAGATCGTTGTCATTTTAAGCCACTGAGATATTGAGGGTGTTTGTTACTGCAACATAACATTATACCCTGCCTGATGCTCTCAACATCAGTGCCCAG